>NC_000002.12:155671436-155974466 GCF_000001405.40 Homo sapiens | reverse complement strand
ACCATATATTATTCTCTCTTGTCTAATTCTTTGGTCTGAATTCCCACAACGTTTGGCATTTGTTGCCTCAAGAAACAAAATAGTACTTGCAATGTCAGTGCTTTTATCCTAAAAAAATGTAATTCCTGGAACATATACTATTTTTCAGAGAGTCAGAATTAGTGAAAAAAAATGGAAACATTTTGCAAAGTGTTTACATTCCTCAAAATTGTCACAGCATCAAAGGATCATAGTCTAGGTGTTCTTTTTCTTGGTTGAAGAGGATAAAGAAAGGAGTGAAGGGGTGCAGTAACAAGCAAAATACATTTAAGTTTTATCAGGTTTATTGATATAATTCACATAAAATAAAATCACAATTCAATAAGTTTTGAAAATATATGTATCTGAAAATTTAAACCACAATCATAATGTAGAATATTTCCATCACCCCAAAATGTCCCCTGTGCTCCTTGTAGTAAATTCCTCCCTATTTCCCCCATCAGCCCTTGGAAACAATTGACCTGATTTCCATCTTTGCCTTTCTCAGAATTTCATAAAAATAGAATCATAAGGTATGTAGTCTTTGTTTCTGGCTTGTTTTTATTTAACATAACACTTTTGAAATGTTTCTATGTTGTTATGTGTATCAGTAGTTGTTTCGTTGCTGACTTAATATTCATTATATTCAACAAATTATTTATTCACCAATTGATAAGTACTCCAGTTTTTGTCTGTTGTTAATAAAGCCTTATAAATATTGGAGTTCATGCTTCTGTGAGAAAATATACTTTCATTTCTATTAGGGAAATACCTAGAAGTGATATCGCTGGGCCTTAGAGTAAATTTATGTTTAACTGTATAAGATGTTGACAAATTCTTTCCTAAAGTGGCTGTTATAATTTTGCATTGCATTTTCACAATCAATGTATTAGAATTCCAACGGCATCACATTCTCAATAACACTTGGTATGGTCAGTCTTTTTAATTTTAGTCATTCAAGTGGTACTATGAACTGAATGTTTCTTCCTCCCCAAAATTCATTTGTTGAAGCCCTAATGACCAATATGATGGAAATGGCTGGTAGGGCCTTAGTGGGGTAATAAGGTTTAGATGTCATCATGAGGGTAGGGGCTCCATGATGTATTAATATCTCTTACAAGAAGAGGAATAGACTCCAGAGCTTTCTTTCTCTGTCTTATGAGGGTACAGTGAGGAGGCTGCTTGCAAGCCAGGAAGTGGACCCTCACCAAGAAACAAACTGCTGTTATCTTAATCTGGGACTTCTCAGCCTCTAGAACTGTGAGGAATAAATACGTATTGTTTAAACCACCCAGTTTATGGCATTTTGTTTTAGCATCTTGGAATGACTAAGATAAATGAGCATGTAGTAGTATCTCATTGTTATCTGAATTTGCATTTTCCTGATAAACAATGGTGTTGACATTTTTTTAATGTGCTTGTTTGCAATTCATCAGGAAACTATTTACTCAAGTCTTTAGCCCATTTTTGCTCAACTTTTAAATGAGATTGATTGTTTTCCAATTATTGAGTTGTAAGAAGATGATCCGTCACATATTCTCAAAGTTTTTCTTTTTTTTTTTTTTTAACAGAGTAAAAGTTTTTCATTTTGGGAGAAGTACAATGTACCTTTATTTTTTTCTTATATGAATCTAGGTTTTGGAATAATATCAAAAAAACTTTAACTATCATAAAGTCACAAAGAATTTCTCCTGTTTTTCTTTTTTTTTTTTTTCTAGAAGTTTTATAGGTTTAACTGCTACATTTAGCTCTATGGCTGATTTTGAGTTAATTTTTGCAAATGATGTGTAGTAAGGGTCAAGGTTTATTTTTTTTCTTGTATAAACATATCCAGCTGTTCCAGAACCATTGTTGAAAAGACTATTTTACTCTGTTGAATTACCCTGACACCTTTGTCAAAAATCAGTTTATGACACATGTATTACTTTTATTTCTGAATTATTTCCATTCCGTTGATTTGAATGTCTATTCTTTGTCAGTATCACAATGTCTTGATTACTGTAGCTTTGTTGTAATTCTTGAAATAGGACAGTGTAAGTTCTCCAGATTTGTTCTTCATTTTAAAGATTATTTTGGTTATTACACAGGTCACTGCATTTCACATACATTTTAGAATCATCTTGCAATATCTACAAAAGGCCTATTTGGATTTTGATTGAAGCTACATTGAATCTATAAATCAGTTTTTCTAGGTCCTCTTTCATTTCTTTGAGCAGTTTTTTTTAGTTTTCAGGGTATAAATATTGCACATAACTTATTAATTTTATCCTGAATGTTTTATCCAGTGACACTAAAGAAATCCAATTTTATGTTGCCATTATACAGGAATACTCCTAATTGTTTGTATTGACCTTGTATTATATGACCTTCTTAAACTGACTTTATTTAGTGAAAAAGGAACAGAGATGTAGGAATATTTGAAGATTCATTAATTTAGTATTATGTGCTATGATCAAGGATCAAGGTATTTTTTTTTCTTTGTGATGTGTGCATTCATCTCACAGAGTTGAACATTGCTTTTCTTTTTTCTTTTTCTTTTTTTTTAAATTATTATACTTTAAGTTTTAGGGTACATGTGCACATTGTGCAGGTTAGTTACATATGTATACATGTGCCATGCTGGTGCGCTGCACCCACTAACTCGTCATCTAGCATTAGGTATATCTCCCGATGCTATCCCTCCCCCCTCACCCCACCCCACAACAGTCCCCAGAGTGTGATATTCCTCTTCCTGTGTCCATGTGATCTCATTGTTCAATTCCCACCTATGAGTGAGAATATGCGGTGTTTGGTTTTTTGTTCTTGCGATAGTTTACTGAGAATGATGATTTCCAATTTCATCCATGTCCCTACAAAGGACATGAACTCATCATTTTTTATGGCTGCATAGTATTCCATGGTGTATATGCGCCACATTTTCTTAATCCAGTCTATCATTGTTGGACATTTGGGTTGGTTCCAAGTCTTTGCTATTGTGAATAATGCTGCAGTAAACATACGTGTGCCTGTGTCTTTATAGCAGCATGATTTATAGTCCTTTGGGTATATACCCAGTAATGGGATGGCTGGGTCAAATGGTATTTCCAGTTCTAGATCCCTGAGGAATCACCACACTGACTTCCACAATGGTTGAACTAGTTTACAGTCCCACCAACAGTGTAAAAGTGTTCCTATTTCTCCACATCCTCTCCAGCACCTGTTGTTTCCTGACTTTTTAATGATTGCCATTCTAACTGCTGTGAGATGGTATCTCATTGTGGTTTTCATTTGCATTTCTCTGATGGCCAGTGATGATGAGCATTTTTTCATGTGTTTTTTGGCTGCATAAATGTCTTCTTTTGAGAAGTGTCTGTTCATGTCCTTCGCCCACTTTTTGATGGGGTCGTTTGTTTTTTTTCTTGTAAATTTGTTGGAGTTCATTGTAGATTCTGGATATTAGCCCTTTGTCAGATGAGTAGGTTGCGAAAATTTTCTCCCATTTTGTAGGTTGCCTGTTCACTCTGATGGTAGTTTCTTTTGCTGTGCAGAAGCTCTTTAGTTTAATTAGATCCCATTTGTCAATTTTGGCTTTTGTTGCCATTGCTTTGGTGTTTTAGACATGAAGTCCTTGCCCATGCCTATGTCCTGAATGGTAATGCCTAGGTTTTCTTCTAGGGTTTTTATGGTTTTAGGTCTAACGTTTAAGTCTTTAATCCATCTTGAATTGATTTTTGTGTAAGGTGTTAAGGAAGGGATCCAGTTTCAGCTTTCTACATATGGCTAGCCAGTTTTCCCAGCACCATTTATTAAATAGGGAATCCTTTCCCCATTGCTTGTTTTTCTCAGGTTTGTCAAAGATCAGGTAGTTGTAGATATGCGGCGTTATTTCTGAGGGCTCTGTTCTGTTCCATTGATCTATATCTCTGTTTTGGTACCAGTACCATGCTGTTTTGGTTACTGTAGCCTTGTAGTATAGTTTGAAGTCAGGTAGTGTGATGCCTCCAGCTTTGTTCTTTTGGCTTAGGATTGACTTGGCAATGCGGGCTCTTTTTTGGTGCCATATGAACTTTAAAGTAGTTTTTTCCAATTCTGTGAAGAAAGGCATTGGTAGCTTGGTGGGGATGGCATTGAATCTGTAAATTACCTTGGGCAGTATGGCCATTTTCACGATATTGATTCCTCCTACCCATGAGCATGGAATGTTCTTCCATTTGTTTGTATCCTCTTTTATTTCCTTGAGCAGTGGTTTGTAGTTCTCCTTGAAGAGGTCCTTCATGTCCCTTGTAAGTTGGATTCCTAGGTATTTTATTCTCTTTGAAGCAATTGTGAATGGGAGTTCACTCATGATTTGGCTCTCTGTTTGTCTGTTCTTGGTGTATAAGAATGCTTGTGATTTTTGTACATTGATTTTGTATCCTGAGACTTTGCTGAAGTTGCTTATCAGCTTAAGGAGATTTTGGGCTGAGACAATGGGGTTTTCTAGATATACAATCATGTCGTCTGCAAACAGGGACAATTTGACTTCCTCTTTTCCTAAATGAATACCCTTTATTTCCTTCTCCTGCCTAATTGCCCTGGCCAGAACTTCCAACACTATGTTGAATAGGAGTGGTGAGAGACGGCATCCCTGTCTTGTGCCAGTTTTCAAAGGGAATGCTTCCAGTTTTTGCACATTCAGTATGATATTGGCTGTCGGTTTGTCATAGATAGCTCTTATTATTTTGAAATACGTCCCATCAATACCTAATTTATTGAGGGTTTTTAGCATGAAGGTTGTTGAATTTTGTCAAAGGCCTTTTCTGCATCTATTGAGATAATCCTGTGGTTTTTGTCTTTGGCTCTGTTTATATGCTGGATTACATTTATTGATTTGCGTATATTGAACCAGCCTTGCATCCCAGGGATGAAGCCCACTTGATCATGGTGGATAAGCTTTTTGATGTGCTGCTGGATTTGTTTTGCCAGTATTTTATTGAGGATTTTTGCATCAATGTTCATCAAGGATATTGGTCTAAAATTCTCTTTTTTTGTTGTGTCTCTGGCAGGCTTTGGAATCAGAATGATGCTGGCCTCATAAAATGAGTTAGGGAGGATTCCCTCTTTTTCTATTGATTGGAATAGTTTCAGAAGGAACGGTACCAGTTCCTCCTTGTACCTCTGGTAGAATTCAGCTGTGAATCCATCTGGTCCTGGACTCTTTTTGGTTGGTAACCTATTGATTATTGCCACAATTTCAGATCCTGTTATTGGTCTATTCAGAGATTCAACTTCTTCCTGGTTTAGTCTTGGGAGAGTGTATGTGTCGAGGAATTTATCCATTTCTTCTAGATTTTCTAGTTTATTTGCATAGAGGTGTTTGTAGTATTCTCTGATGGTAGTTTGTATTTCTGTGGGATTGGTGGTGATATCCCCTTTATCATTTTTTATTGCGTCTATTTGATTCTTCTCTCTTTTTTTCTTTATTAGTCTTGCTAGTGGTCTATCAATTTTGTTGATCCTTTCAAAAAAGCAGCTCCTGGATTCATTAATTTTTTGAAGGGTTTTTTGTGTCTCTATTTCCTTCAGTTCTGCTCTGATTTTAGTTATTTCTTGCCTTCTGCTAGCTTTTGAATGTGTTTGCTCTTGCTTTTCTAGTTCTTTTAATTGTGATGTTAGGGTGTCAATTTTGGATCTTTCCTGCTTTCTCTTGTGGGCATTTAGTGCTATAAATTTCCCTCTACACACTGCTTTGAATGCGTCCCAGAGATTCTGGTATGTTGTGTCTTTGTTCTCATTGGTTTCAAAGAACATCTTTATTTCTGCCTTCATTTCGTTATGTACCCAGTAGTCATTCAGGAGCAGGTTGTTCAGTTTCCATGTAGTTGAGCAGTTTTGAGTGAGATTCTTAATCCTGAGTTCTAGTTTGATTGCACTGTGGTCTGAGACATAGTTTGTTATAATTTCTGTTCTTTTACATTTGCTGAGGAGAGCTTTACTTCCCAGTATGTGGTCAATTTTGGAATAGGTGTGGTGTGGTGCTGAAAAAAATGTATATTCTGTTGATTTGGGGTGGAGAGTTCTGTAGATGTCTATTAGGTCCGCTTGGTGCAGAGCTGAGTTCAATTCCTGGGTATCCTTGTTGACTTTCTGTCTCGTTGATCTGTCTAATGTTGACAGTGGGGTGTTAAAGTCTCCCATTATTAATGAGTGGGAGTCTAAGTCTCTTTGTAGGTTACTCAGGACTTGCTTTATGAATCTGGGTGCTCCTGTATTGGGTGCATATATATTTAGGATAGTTAGCTCCTCTTGTAGAATTGATCCTTTTACCATTATATAGTGGCCTTCTTTGTCTCTTTTGATCTTTGTTGGTTTAAAGTCTGTTTTATCAGAGACTAGGATTGCAACCCCTGCCTTTTATTGTTTTCCATTTGCTTGGTAGATCTTCCTCCATCCTTTTATTTTGAGCCTGTGTGTGTCTCTGCCCGTGAGATGGGTTTCCTGAATACAGCACACTGATGGGTCTTGACTCTTTATCCAATTTGCCAGTCTGTGTCTTTTAATTGGAGCATTTAGTCCATTTGCATTTAAAGTTAATATTGTTATGTGTGAATTTGATCCTGTCATGATGATGTTAGCTGGTTATTTTGCTCATTAGTTGATGCAGTTTCTTCCTAGTCTCGATGGTCTTTACATTTTGGCATGATTTTGCAGCGGCTGGTACCGGTTGTTCCTTTCCATATTTAGCGCTTCCTTCAGGAGCTCTTTTAGGGCAGGTCTGGTGGTGACAAAATCTCTCAGCATTTGCTTGTCTGTATTTTATTTCTCCTTCGCTTATGAAGCTTAGTTTGGCTGGATATGAAATTCTGGGTTGAAAATTCTTTTCTTTAAGAATGTTGAATATTGGCCCCCACTCTCTTCTGGCTTGTAGGGTTTCTGCCGAGAGATCCGCTGTTAGTCTGATGGGCTTCCCTTTGTGGGTAACCCGACCTTTCTCTCTGGCTGCCCTTAACATTTTTTCCTTCATTTCAACTTTGGTGAATCTGACAATTATGTGTCTTGGAGTTGCTCTTCTCGAGGAGTATCTTTGTGGCATTCTCTGTATTTCCTGAATCTGAACGTTGGCCTGCCTTGCTAGATTGGGGAAGTTCTCCTGGATAATATCCTGCAGTGTGTTCTCCAACTTGGTTCCATTCTCCCCATCACTTTCAGGTACAGCAATCAGACATAAATTTGGTCTTTTCACATAGTCCCATATTTCTTGGAGGCTTTGTTCATTTCTTTTTATTCTTTTTTCTCTAAACTTCCCTTCTCGCTTCATTTCATTCATTTCCTCTTCCATTGCTGATACCCTTTCTTCCAGTTGATCGCATTGGCTCCTGAGGCTTCTGCATTCTTCACGTAGTTCTCGAGCCTTGGTTTTCAGCTCTATCAGCTCCTTTAAGCACTTCTCTGTATTGGTTATTCTAGTTATACATTCTTCTAAATTTTTTTCAAAGTTTTCAACTTCTTTGCCTTTGGTTTGAATGTCCTCCCATAGCTCAGAGTAATTTGATCGTCTGAAGCCTTCTTCTCTCAGCTCGTCAAAGTCATTCTGCATCCAGCTTTGTTCCGTTGCTGGTGAGGAACTGCGTTCCTTTGGAGGAGGAGAGGCGCTCTGCGTTTTAGAGTTTCCAGTTTTTCTGTTCTGTTTTTTCCCCATCTTTGTGGTTTTATCTACTTTTGGTCTTTGATGATGGTGATGTACAGATGGGTTTTTGGTGTGGATGTCCTTTCTGTTTGTTAGTTTTCCTTCTAACAGACAGGACCCTCAGCTGCAGGTCTGTTGGAATACCCTGCCGTGTGAGGTGTCAGTGTGCCCCTGCTGGGGGTTGCCTCCCAGTTAGGCTGCTCGGGGGTCAGGGGTCAGGGACCCACTTGAGGAGGCAGTCTGCCCGTTCTCAGATCTCCAGCTGCGTGCTGGGAGAACCACTGCTCTCTTCAAAGCTGTCAGACAGGGACATTTAAGTCTGCAGAAGTTACTGTTGTCTTTTTGTTGTCTGTGCCCTGCCCCCAGAGGTGGAGCCTACAGAGGCAGGCAAGCCTCCGTGAGCTGTGGTGGGCTCCACCCAGTTCGAGCTTCCCGGCTGCTTTGTTTACCTAAGCAAGCCTGGGCAATGGCGGGCGCCCCTCCCCCAGCCTCGCTGCCGCCTTGCAGTTTGATCTCTGACTGCTGTGCTAGCAATCAGTGAGACTCCCTGGGCATAGGACCCTCCGAGCCAGGTGGGGGTTATAATCTCGTGGTGCGCCGTTTTTTAAGCCCGTCGGAAAAGCGCAGTATTCCGGTTGGAGTGACCCGATTTCCAGGTGCTGTCCGTCACCCCTTTCTTTGACTGGGAAAGGGAACTCCCTGACCCCTTGCCCTTCCCAAGTGAGGCAGTGCCTCGCCCTGCTTCGGCTCGCGCACGGTGCACGCACTCACTGACCTGCGCCCACTGTCTGGCACTCCCTAGTGAGATGAACCCGGTACCTCAGATGGAAATGCAGAAATCACCCGTCTTCTGCGTCGCTCAAGCTGGGAGCTGTAGACCGGAGCTGTTCCTACTCGGCCATCTTGGCTCCTCCCCGCCAAGGTATGTTTCATAACTCAGTTCTGACATCCTCATTATGCTGGCTTTGACCTCGAATTTATTTTGTTATAGTCATAAAATGGCTACAAAAGCTCCAAGTATCATGTTCTCTCACAATACAGTTTCAAGAACTAGATGGGAAAATGTTTCTTCTGATGTCTCTTTATAAGAGATTTATCAAGTACTGTCTTTTTCTACAGCCTGTCAGTCAGAATTCCATTGCATGCCTGTTCTTGAACAACCATGGTCAAGGAGACAAGATTCCTGATGACTGACTCACACTAATCAAAACTCAGCCACTGGTCCTAGCAAACTTCATGAGATGAGAGTGGAGAGTGTCCCATCTCATCTTAAGCATATGACTGTCCCATACCCATACAAAATCAGGTTCTTTGCACAAAGAACAATAGAGGTGAATGACCAATGAGTAATCAAAGAGAGAGTTTTTCAGGTATCTGATAATTTTATGGGTGCTTTTATATGCTTTTAATTACCTGGCAACAGAATAATAAAAAAATGTTATTTTGAACTTGAGTTACTGTTATGGGACAGGGGTCTGGTATATTATCCACATCAGTCATAATAGTCTAAATCAAATCTTAATAGATGAGTTAATGAAACACCAAATCAAGTACAGAACTATGAAAATTATACACAGATTTTAAGGGGAAAAAAAGAACCTTTGTTTCTCTTTGAGACGCTATTCTAGTTAAGGTTTCCCACATTTAGAAACTTAAGTTTAATCTTATTTGAGTAAAACAATGGCAAAGGGAAAAGACCTTATGCATGTTATTTTTGGGTTTTATAAATAATGGCAAAAATGACTAAGATTATATCTGTAATCTTAAAAAAAGAAAGACATTAAGGTAACCAAAAAGAAACTGGCCAACTAACACATGTGAATAGAATATGAAATAACAAAGCATAATGTTGGAAAATTGTTCATTGATCTCTTAAAATAGACATTCATATGTGAAAGGGGTTGAGATTCCAAAAACACCTACAATTAAGTATTTAATTAAGTGCTTAATTAAAAACGTAAATTCACGATAAGCATAGAAGTGAGAGTTTAGACAGTTCTTTCAGTTATTTTCTTACTAAAAAAGCACAGTAATTTTGGTATATGTGATTTTAATCATTGAACCCCCTCCCTTCTAAAAATAGCTTATGTCCAAAAACCTTTAGTATAACTCTCGAGATTTAAAGGTTAAAACTTTAAATTTGGAAGTTAAGGGTATAATAGCATTATTAACAAATTAGGTCATTTAGTGTTCAACTGGCCAATCCTTACATTTCTGTATAATAGTAATTTTAGAAAATCATATTATCTGATATAATATATATAATATTATGTATAGCTACACATTATGATTGTGTGTGTGTGTGTGTGTGTGTGTGTATGTGTGTTTGTGTTTGTATGTGGGTGTACTACATTGCAACCCCCAGCAAGCATGCAGGGTATAAACTCTGGTACTAGGAAAAATAAACTGGAGTGTAAAAGTACTTTAGTACTTTAGTTTCTGAGAATTTGGAGGTTAAGGGAGTCTCTAGGAACATTCGGTCACAGGTAGCTAGGGCACAGTGATAGATAACAGCCTCAACAGCCCTTCCCAGTGTCTGCAAAGGGCAGAGACTGGGTGAGTTTGGGGGCAATGTTTGTCTAATGGAACATGTGTGCTGACAGACCCCTGAATCACCTATCTTTTAACTGAGGAGACATCACACATATACCGCAAGGTGAAGAAAGGGGCGTGTTGAAGCCTGGGTTTCTGCGTCCAAATGGCATGACAGTGCCCAAGGGCCCTGAAGGGAGCCTTTAGGACTGGGCTTAAATTGTAGGAACCAGACATTCTATTATAAGAAAACGGAAGGTAAGAGGTGACGAGAGTAACCAGGACATGTGTGGTTAGTGACTGTCTAATCCTTTCTCAAATTCCCAGGTATATATATAAATATTTTTTTTTCCAGAGGAAAACGTATCCACCATTAAACAAAAATTCCAGAAAGTGAATTTCTCCTTCTTAGAATAACTTGTGTATTATTATTCTTCAGATCAGAGTTCAGGAGGTCAAACATCCACTTGATATCAGATTCCGTGGAAGATGCTATGGGTATATACAATGGTTAACGGTCAGATTTTATCCCCTGAAATCTTTCTACCCTCACCTTGATTCTTTTTCTGCAGTTTTTAAATATACTCAACTACTTTTCCTACTTAAAGTAAAACAAAACCATGAAAAATAATACAAATAAAATGACAGTGACCCTGAAATCCCTTGGCCTATCAATCTCTGTCCTTTATTAGCTAACTTATGAAAACGCCTTCTACCTTCATGATTTCTATTTACCTCTTCACTAATTGTTCTGGCAAAAAAAAAAATGTAGAATGATTTTCTAACTGCCACATCCAATATTCTCCTTTTAGCTTTCCTTTAATTTGCCTCTCTGAAGTGATGGACATTTTTGACTACTCTTTTAAGAACTCTCAACATCCTTGGCTTCTGTGACTTCTCTTTTTCTTGTTTGGCCTCAGCATTCTGGCTACTTCTTTTCAGTCTTTTCTTTCTAGTTTTCTCCACTTTGCATCTTACGTGGCATCATCAAGTGACTTGGTCTCTCTTCCTTTATCATACATGGCTTTAAGCACTATTTGTATGCTGCTGCTCTCAATTCTGTATATCCAATCCAGACATTTCTGGTTTGCTATTGTGCCAGCTTGACATATGCAATTTGGAAGTTTTATAAGCATTTAAAGCACAAATGTCCTTTAAAATACAACTCAAGTAATTAAAATGAATTTATGTAACTCCTACTCCAAATCTCCATCCCCTTCATACCCAATATCTATTAATGATTATACTCACCCAAAATGAAACATAGGGGTCAATGTAACTTTTATGTCACCTAAATCATTCATTCACTTATTCGGTCATAAAATCTAACAGAAGCAGCCTTTTAGTATAATGGTTTTGATGTAGGTTTTGGAAGTGGACTGCCTTTGTTTAAATCCCGGCTATGTTACTTGGTAGGTCCATATCTTTTGCAAGTTACTTAATCTATCTCTGCTGGTTTCATCATCTCTAACATGGGTATAACATGAAGGAAGTCAGGTAAAGGCAGATACCAATCTGATAATATTGATTAGCTCAAAAATAAAGGGGGGAATGGAGAGGACTATTAACTTTTTCTTGATGTATATATTTTCAACCCTTGAAAAGATAATTATTATTTTTATAATTTAGTTAATGAATGAAGAAAAACTTAAAAACAAATTATTTAACTAAAAGGCCCTAAGTCCGGCAGTCATCATTTAAACCCCCAAGGCCATTACTATAAGTGACAAATATCAGAGTATCACAATCCCTTAATTTCCTAATGATTACTGATAGCCCACTATCAATATAAGTGTTCCCTAAACCATTATTGATACATATTGCTCATACATCGTTTATTTTAGTTCAACTGTAGTTTGGATTAGTTTAACAATGTGGCAGTATTTGAGGTCTGCCTGAAGCATACGACTTGCTAAATATAGTGAGAAATAAAATTATTTCACTAATTTCAGTTACAGAGAATTCTCTGAAATGCTATGATTTGCAGAAATTCTTAGAAGAAAAAAGTTTTAATCATTTTGGATTTTGTCCTTAAACATATGTATTCAGAATTTGTACAGCAGAAGTAACATAACTGTAATATTATCAAATGGGAAGACAGCAAAAGAAATAAGGAAAGAGAAGTGGAACTATTAGTGACAATTGTAATAGCGCAACTGAATGAAATAAATAATACAGTGTGCTATAGTGGATTTTTCTCTTAATAATGTATATCCTATTCAAATGAAGCTTTTTTCTTCTTTGACCCTGTTTATAGCTTTATTACAGACAGTGTTAGCCCATATTAACCACTTACTAGATAAATATAGGAAAACTGCCTGTCATTTATCAGTTTATCCATTGTCATCTCAAATAGGGCCGAGTGGTCTGATTTCAAAGTGACAGCTGGTGGTGTCTCTTCCTGATACGTGCTAATCCAGTTTTTATTATGGAAAAACTGCCTGTGCTTTCAGACAGCGAAAGGGAGTTACTAAATGTAATCACTAAGGAGGAACCTTGGGATCGCAAACATAAAAGACTAAAATGAACAGTTTTCTCATTACAGAATGGTTTCCTGATTAAATACAGATTAAGGGCAGGGAAAAATCATTTAGAGATCTAAACAGCATTCTCCATTGTGTATATACACACAGAATCACTGATACACACATTTTTAAATGGATATAGATATAGAAGTTACATGCACATGGATATAGGTATAGACACAATCATGGCATGTACTGTCTCTTAATATGTTCATAAAATAATTTGAGAGTATGTGAATCAATCGCCATTTTTAGACAATTTCTTTGGATGGCAGCATAAAAGAAACAATTATCATTTAAACAAAGTGTGACTTCTACATATATCACTGCTATGGTTTTATTATATCACTCTAGTGTAGACAGACTCTGTACAGACTACACTGTAGTGTAGTTGGAGCAATGGAGGATTTTCTATTATCTTTTCCCCACACGAGAAATTAAAAGCTAAGAGAATGCTATCAAAAATGACTTGGTAGCTAGTGCATTGTAATTGCATGAGAGTCAACAGAAATATGAGCATTTAGTGCATATAGACATATACCTTTCCCGTACTCTACTTTGGGATCTTGATGCTATTTGTGCTATATAATAAACAGCTCTCTCAAATTTTAACTCCTAGCTGTCAAATGAAAAGGCCACCTAACTATTTCATTATGCCTTAATTAATAATACACTTCAATAAAATTAATTTATTTACTACATAATTTATCAGCATGTTGAACATCTTGCCCAATACTTATTGCCGGAATAAAATAAGCATCCTGTCTGGAGGACTGTTTAATTGACAGAAGAAGAGGTATGGAGTCAAATCTAGAAAGAGTATCCCACTTCCTCAGTCCCTGTTGTGGCCTCATTATTTTGGACCTCAAATCACAAATACAAATAACTGTGCTGGAGTTAGGTATTTATGTCAGCAGATTACCATTCGCCAGCCCCATTAGCCATCTGACCCCATTTTCGAAGTACAGGCATTATGGATTTTTTTCCAGACCATCCTAATAATGCAAATATTGCAGTCAAGTAAGCCACACACAATCTTTTTTTGTTTTCCAGTGCATATAAAAGTTATGTTTACACTATACTGCAGTCTATTAAGTGTGCAATTAATGGAAAAAACAATGTACAGACCTTAATTATAAAAATACTTTATTGCTAAAAATGCTAATGATCTTCTGAACCTTCAGCAAGTTGTCATGTTTTTTTTTTGGTAGAGGGTCTTGCCTCCATGTTGATGGCAACTAACTGATCGTGGTGGTGGTTGCTGAAGGTTAGGGTGACTATGACAATTTGTTAAAATGAGACAATGAAGTTTGCTGCATTCATTGACACTTCCTTTCAAGGAAGATTTCTCTGTGCAAGTGATGCTGCTTGACAGCATTTTACTCACAATAGAACTTCTTTCAAAATGGGGGTTGATCTTCTCAAACCCTGATGCTGCTTTATCAACAAGGTTTATATAATATAATCCTTTCTTGTCATTTCAACAATGTTCATAGCCTCTTCACTAACAGTAGATTCCATCATCTAAAGAAACCACGTTCTTTGCTCATCCATAAGAATTAACTCCTCATCTGCTCAAGTTTTATCATGAGAGTGCAGCAATTCAGTCGCATCTTCAGGTTTCACTTCTAATCGATTTATCTTGTTAGTTGCACCACATCTGCAGTTACTTTCCCCACTGCATTCTTGAACCCCACAGAGTTATCCATGAGGGTTGGAACTAACATCTTCCAAACTCCTGCTCATGTTAATATTTTGACCTCCTCCCATGAATCATGAATATCCTTAATGATATCTAGAATGGCAAATCCTTTCCAGCAGGTTTTCAATTCATTTTGTTCAGACCTATCAGGGGTCTGATAGGTAGCTTTACAAAGTGTATTTCTTACATAATAAGACTTAAAATTTGACATTACTTGATCCATGGCTACAGAATGGACATTGTGTTAGCAGGCATGAAAACAACATTAATCTCCTTGTATATTTTAAATAGAGCTCTTGGGTGACCAAGTGCATTGTCAGTGAGCAGTAATATTAACAGAATCTTTTTTTTTTCCTTTGCAGTTGGTCTCAACAGGGGGCTTCAAATGTTCACTAAAACATGTTGCAAACACGTGTTGTCATCCAATTCTAAGCTTTGTTATTTCATTTATAGAGCACAGACAGAGTAGCTTTAGAACAAATTCAGCATAAATCCTTAGGGTCTAGGATTTTCAGAATAGTAAATGAGCATTAGTTTCCATTTAAGGTCACTAGGTACATTAGCTTGCAACAAGAGAATCAGACTGTTCTTTGGAGCTTTGAAGCCAGGACCTGACTTCTCCTCTCTAGCTATGAAAGTCCTAGATGGCATCTTCCAATATAAAGCTGTTTTGTTTACACTGAAATTTTACGAGATCTTCTGGATAACTTGCTGAAGCTTCTACAACAACACTTGCTGCTTCACCTTGTACTTTTATGTTATAAAGATGGCTTATATTTTTTAACCTTATGAACCAATCTCTGCTAGCTTCAAACTTTTCCTCTGCAGCTTCCTAACTTCTTAAAGCCTTCATGGAATTGGAGAGAGTTAAAGCTTTTCTCTGGATTAAACTTTGGCTTAAGGAAATGCTGTGGCTCGTTTGATCTTCTATCCAGACCACTCAAACTTTCTCCATGTCAGCAGTAAGCTGTTCTGCATGCTTAACATTCACGAATTCACTGGAGTAGCACTTTTAATTTCTTTCAAGAGCTTTCTCTTTGCACTCACAACTTGTCTAACTGTTCAGTGTAAGAGGCTTAGCTTTCAGACTGCCTTGGCTTTTGACATGCCTTCTTTACTAAGCTCAATCATTTCTAGCTTTTGATTTAAAGTGAGAGACATAGGACACTTCCTTTCACTTGAACACTTAGAGGTCATTGTAGGGTTACTAATTTGCTTAATTTCAATATTGTTGTGTCTCAGGGAATTAGAGAGGCCTGAGGCGGGAGAGACCGGAGATTGGCCATTGGTGAAGCCATCAGAACACACACAACTTTTATTAAGTTTGCTGTCTTATATGGATGTGGTTCATGGCACCCCAAAACAATTACGATAGTAACACCAAAGATCACTGATCACAGATCACCATAACAGATATGATATGAAAAAGTTTGAAATACTGGGAGAATTGCCAAAATGTGACACAAAGACACAAAATGAGTACATGTTGTTGAAATGGTCTCAATAGACTTGCTCCATGTAAGGTTGTCATATCTTTAAGTTGTAAAAAATGCATTATCTGCCAAGCAAAATAAAACAATAAAAGGAATTATGCCTATATAAGTGCTCACAGTTTCTATATCCTTGGTTAGAGGCCTAGTAGAAACCTCTTTTCAAAATCTAGCTGTCAGTGTCAACAAATTCTTCCTTAGCTAGTCTGTGAGTTCAAGAATCACAAATGTTCATTTCTAGTTGCAAGAATTAATTAGAGAACGCAGACCAAATGCTGCTTCCCTTTAAAGAGAGGTAGAGGATTATTATTTAAAATTGAAAGAAGTCATATCTGTCAATGGGCTCCACAAATGGGTGTTTATTTTATGTACTTAGATGCCTTTTCATAATCTATAATCAAGGAATCTTCAGAAACCACTATGGCAATACTGTGATCAAAATCATCAGATGATTTCAAACGTTGCCACCTTAACTGATCTGTTTATATAAGAAGA
The DNA here is from genome assembly GCF_000001405.40 of Homo sapiens. Taxonomy (NCBI): domain Eukaryota; kingdom Metazoa; phylum Chordata; class Mammalia; order Primates; family Hominidae; genus Homo; species Homo sapiens. The sequence continues at coordinate 155,958,059 of NC_000002.12, read as the reverse complement.
GCTGATAACAAGATATCCTGTTCATTGACATGCTGAGAGACTGTGTCGCCATTTATAAAATGAACTTTTATCTTTATTTTTTTCTGGAAATAATGGTGATTGGCATTCGTTTTGTTTGCATTCTGCAGTATTATAAACAGGAACCAGGATTCTTCAATACTAAGATCAGAAATGAATGAAAAAGCCCATGCAGTGGCTCACACCTGTAATCCCAGCACTCTGGGGGGCTGTGGCAGGCGGATCACCTGAGGTCAGGAGTTCGAGACCAGCCTGGTCAACATGGCAAAATCCCGTCTCTACTAAAAAGACAAAAAAAAATTTAGCCAGGTCTGGTAGTGGGCACCTGTAATCCCAGCTACTTGGGAGGCTAAGGCAGGAGAATTGCTTGAACCTGGGAGGCAGAGGTTGTGCAAAATTATTTACTTACCATTCCACATTGATTCAGTTATGATATTGTGAAATAGGCTCCAATGAAAGTTAATAATTCTATTTCAAGAATGTTGACACTATGCTCATGGCAATAATATATGAGATAATAAAGCATAAAAATTATGAGGTTATTCCCTTCAAAATGCCCCATAGTGTTGTTCTACAGTTTGTAAACCATTTTCAGAATAACCAAATTAGCTAACAGAATAAGAAATTATGTAACATTTAAATTTATATTTTGAAATAGGAAAGAGAGAAATCAATGATGAAATTGCTGAAATAGAAAACTAATCTAAGGATAAAAATAATTATTTACAGAGGTTCAGATTTAAAATATACTCACATCTAGATATTATTTAGAAAATATCTTATTTTATTTGCATACACTTGGCTGGAGTTAATACAAACTTCACTCAAAATTCTCTACAGAGAGTTGGAGACCTGAATTCTAGGCCCTAAGGCAAAGTACTCAATGACTTCATTGAACCTCGATTTCTTCATTGGTAAAATAGATCATGTAACAGTTTTTTCTTCTTCATAGTGTGAATGAGATAATATGTAATAAATCAGTTTGTAACTTGCCAATCATGTATTTCAGAATTTTTACTGTTGATTTATTATTGCTGTCCTGGATTTAAGCTTGTAGTAGTAAAGTAGGGCCAGTTAATAAAAGGCCTTAAAATCCAAACAACAGCTCATTAACTCTCTTGGTGATTCTGTTTAAAAATTTATTCTTAAAACTCCTGAAAAATTGCTGGACATTTCTACTTTATGTCTTGTCATTACTTTAAACTCAAATGTCTTTTCCTTTCCTCTTAATTTCCCTGTTCCTGTTAATTACTGCTATTTGGTCAAGCCAAACTTCAGAATTATCCTTTTTAAAATTTGTCTGTCAATATCCAAACAGTTGAAAAAACCTTTTTATAATGTCTTTTCCAATTCTATTATTAATATCTAAGCTCATGGTTATAATAGTATTCCCTTTAAAGAGTATTTTTCCTTGATTTTTAATAAATTACATATTCAATGTAAAACACATACAGATTCAGAAAAAATACAAAAGTAACAAAATTCCATATTTTATCACCCAGAGTGTTCTACTGTTAGTATATTTGCATAAATTTGTTTTTTCTATGCATAATTTTTACATCATTGGCATCCTATTTGTATATGCAATAGCATTATTGCTATTATTATTAATTTTTCAGACAAAAATATTAAGCTGTACAAATTATTTACCGTCACTAAAATTTCATCTAATAAGTGCATTTTGATTGTACATTTTAATTATTTGAGTGAGTTAAACATGTATGTGGTTCCAAATGAACAGAAAGTATGCCGTGCACACTTAACTTTCCTCTTGCCTGTTTCCCAGCCACTAAGTATCCCTCCTGAGAAGCAATCACTCCTGCCAACATTTTGTATATTCATCTAGAGATAATTGGTACATGTATAAATGCATATAATTACTATCAGATTTACTGCTATATACATCAGCATACTTTAAAAAATATGTGTATTTTGGCCAGGTGCGGTGGCTCATGCCTGTAATCCCAGCACCTTGGGAAGCCGAGGCAGGTGGATCACTTAAGGTCAGGAGTTCGAGACCAGACTGGCCAACATGGTGAAACCCCATCTCTACTAAAAATACAAAAATTAGCCGGGTGTGGTGGTGCATGCCTGTAATCTCAGCTACTTGGGAAGCTGAGGCAGGAGAATCATTTGAGCCGAGGAGGCGGAGGTTGCAGTGAGCCAAGATCACGCTACTGCACTCCAGCCTGGGCGACAGAGTGAGAGTCTGTCTCAAAAAAAAAAAAAAAAAAAAGTGTAGTTTTTAAAATGTGTACATACATACACACACGTATTCAGCAAAATAGTAATCTATAATGCTATTTTTTCCTTGCTTTAAAGGAATTTTAATAATACATCTGATAGCATTAGATTAATTCACAAAATTTTATTACTTTGTCCTTATCTTTAATATATTGCACCAAAATTAATGAAATATCCCCTTGAGGCACTTCCAGTCTATAGAGAGTTATCTGACCACTATACCATGAACCATTAGCTAAGCTTAGGACTACCAAATATGTTCAGAAAACATAAGAAAGTAGTGATTACATAAAATGTACTGCAATTGATTCTTTTTTCTGACAAACGATTGAGCTATATGATTCCTTGTCAAGAAATGTATGATATTTCCAGAATTTTTGTTGATCTTACCAGTATCTTCTTTAATGATAAATTAGTCATTCAAATATGTAAACTTTAAAAAAATTTTTTTCTGCTCACTTTGGTTTCTGAAAGTGGTAAGTTAAAATCTCCCAGTATGATTGTATGTTTCAAATTCTTAATAATAGTTTTTTTCTTATGTATGTTGAGACTATCTTTCTAAGTTCATGTAGTTTTAGTAATATTATACCTTCCTAATTGTTCTTTTTGTGTAATTTAATGACCTTCTTTCCCCCTAAATTGCATATGACTTAAAGACTAATTTGTCTGATACTAATATTTTCATACCAGTTCATTTTGATTATTATTTCCCTGGTTTTAGGTGTGTCTCTTACGAAGAGCATATGGACAGATTTTTATAATCTAACCTGAGAAAATTAAAAATGTTATTGTTTTACATTTGTTAGGATAACTAATAATATTTAGATGGTGGTTCTATCATCTTGTTTTGTGAGTTTTGATTACAATATTCTTTCTTATTTCTCCTCTGTTGCCCTTTATTAAGTTTATTGACTTTTTACCCCCCCACCAGCATTTTCTCTCTCTCTTTCTTTCTTTCTTTTAGCAGTTACCCTTGAATTTTTAGCATGCATAATTTACCTAATAAGTCCATCAGCATAGCTATCCTCTCCATGCCATACTGTCAGCATACTTTAACTGAAATTTCTTCCTTACAGTTTCATTTCCATGATACTATTGTTTCATATTTTAGGTTCACCTAACTTTAATGACAGAAAATTCAAGTTACGGTTGTTATAATTGTTTTATTTTACATTACAAATGTCTGTTGAATGGATGAATGTTGGTAAAATTTTGAATTCACATCCATGTTTATTACAGGCTTGTGCTTTTGATTTCTCCTCATAGATAGCTTTTTATTTTTCTACCTAGATAAGGCGTAAATCTTTCTTGACCTAGTAGATTTTTAAAAAATTCCTTATGGAGTATTAAAGCTGCATTCTCTCGTTTATAGGTCCTAAATCTTGAAGCAATTTCACCTGGGCTTCTGCAGCATTGACTTGTAATAGTAGCAATCTGCTCTAAACTTGATTTTCTCTTCTGGCACTCAGGAATTTCTCTTTCTACTAACTTCTAAGTGTTGTCTATTAGCTAGCATTTCTATGTACTTATGTACTTGTAGTTAGAGAGAAATCTATATAGGCTCAGCTCAAAATATTGCTAGTATTCTAAATTCAGCCTAAATTCATATCTATGTATATGCAATTTTATATGCTTTAGTCTAACTTAATGTGGCATTATAAGCACTTCTCCTATGACCACAAATTCTTTGTAAATCTCATTTTCCATTGATTTACAATATTCTGTATTTTAGAGCCGGGATGTCTGAGTTTGATTCTTGGCTCTGCCTCTTTCAACTATTACAAAAGATGCAATATTTTGGAGAAGGTACTTATTCTTTCTATCACAGTTTCTTCACTCATAAAATAGGGAAACTAATACCATAGGATTATTATGAAAAACAAATGAGATAATAGTCATGGAACACATAGAGTCATGCCAGGCGTCCTCTTAGTATTCAACAAATGTTAACTATTTGTATTATTATTTTATATTATCGCCATTGCCAACCACCCTCCCTACCATTATCATCATCATCATCTACCACCACTATCATCAACATCATCATCATCATCCTCACCAAACTCTTTGGTTAGAAATTGCCTCCAAATTCAACAGTATAAATAGTTCTTTGACAAGCATATCTTTGCACAATCCTTATATATATTTTATTTTCTTAGACTAGATGTTAAAAATGAAATTATAAGGCACAGAACACAGATATTTTAAAGGGGGTTTTGATATAGATTTCCCAGTGCTTAATGCCCTATTAAATGTGTTCTCTTCTACCAATTTCATTCTTTTCCAATGAATGGTGGTGTCTTGTTTCATTCTTATAAGGCACAGAACACAGTTTCATTCTTATAAGGCACGGAACACAGTTATTTTAAAGGGGGTTTTGATGCAGATTTCCCAGTGCTTAATGTCCTGTTAAATGTGTTCTCTTGTACCAATTTCATTCTTTCCCAATTAATTGGTGGTGTCTTGTTTCATTTCTTCTTGGTCTTCTTAAATTCACCTTTACATGTGGTAGACCGTTCTAGGTGTGCTCAAGCGCCTGTGGTTCTCTCCATCTCTGCCTAAGGGCTTTCTGTACCATCCAGGAACTTGTTTGACCATAAACAGGGCAATGTAAAAATACCAGGAAGTTAACACTCTCAGGGCCAACCTCCAATCAATAAGGGGTAGAAGTGGATGGAAAAGTACCCAGCCTGATCATCCTGGGCATGGATAGGCTGGAGCATTTGTAATATAATTATGAGATGTGTTCATGGTTTCTCACAGGCTACCCAGTGATGCTGAGCCCAAGTTGCTCACAATGATAGCTCACTCACTAATGCACCTTTCATGCCTTTCTCCCTTCCTGTCCCACTTCCTCTCTCTATCGATTCTGTCCTGAGATTTCCACCAAATAAACTCAAGCTGTAGTCTCAACATTTGCTTTTAGAGAAGGTCAATCTAAGAAAACACCATACAGCAGTTTCACCTTTCTAAACTTCTTTATCAGTTAGCTCAACAATCTTCCATGGCTCCCATGCCACAAGACAAAATGTAAACTCTCTGCTTCAGGAATTAAGATTCACTACAATCTATCACTTCCTATATCCACTACAAAACTATTTTTATAACTAAATGGTTTACTCATTGTTTTAAAAGTACAATAGGTAGGCTTTAGGCCATTTCTTCACATCACTTTGTCTGCCTGAAATCTAAGCCTGCTTCTCTGTTTTAGTTAGATTATATACTCTTTCTCCAAGACCCATCTTCTTTGTGAACATTCCAAGCTGCTCCTGTCAGGGTTGTTTGAGCATCCTTCTGGAGTCTATAGTGTGACTGTTTCCCCTCACTCATTTGGTTCTTGGCATACCTAGCTTGGAATGTCCTATTCGATTGTCATGTCTTAAGCTCAGTCTCTCAGGGATAAGGCCTCTGTTATTAGGGTTATCTAATGAATATTCATTAGAGAAACATTAGCATATAATGAAAAGGAAAACAAAACCACTTTCCTGTTTAAAAATAGCCAATGTCGACATTTTGAAATATTTTATTCTAGTCTTTCTCTATGCTTGTTTTATTTAAATATTATTTTGGCATACGGTTAATGACCCTAACATTTATTTTGAGGAGATATTATATGCTAGGCATTTTTGTAAGTCCTTTATATATAATATGCTTTACAACAGTGAGAAGGATACTGATAATTTTTCCATTTACATATGAGGAGCCTGAGGCTTGAAGAGTTTAAATAATTATTCTTCTATTCAAAAACTATTATGTACTCAAATTGGGACTCAAACCTGTCACCCTGCTTGAAAATTTTATGCTCCTAACCAATATAACGTACTGCCCTTTTCACTTTCATATTCTATCTCAGGATTTAGGTACATAGAAATGGATTAATCATAATCTTCAGTGATGTTACCCTGATCATTAGCCCTCCTATTTTCTTATCTATCTATCTGTCTATCACCTATCTTTTTTCCTATCTCTATTATCTATCTATATCTATCTTTATCATCTGCCTATCTTTATCATCATCACATCATCATCAATTTATCTGCATTATTTAATAAAAACCTGTGAATATACCACACAGCTTGGAATTTAACTGAAACCCTTATTTATAAGCTTTCCCACATTGTATCACCCTGAAGCCATATTTATGATTATTTAGCTTTCATTTTTATACATTGTTGTTGCATTTATGTGATATGTGTGTGTGTGTGTGTGTGTGTGCAATTTGTAACATTGTACAAAGGGACTGGGCATGGTGGCTCATGCCTGTAATCCCAGAATTTTGGGAGGCCAAGGCAGGAAGATAGCTTGGGACTAGGAGTTCTAGATAAGCCTGGGCAATATGGTAAGACCCCATATCTACCAAAAATAAGAAAATTAACTGGGTATGGTGGCGTGCATCTATAGTCTCAGCTACTTGGGAGGCTGAATTGGCAGGATCACTTGAACAAAGGAGTTTGGGGTTACAGTGAGCTATGATAGCGCCACTGCATTGCAGCCTGGAGGAGAGTGAGACCATGTCTCAAAGAAAGTTGTACAAAAGGTGTCATGCTGAACTAATTATTTTAGACTTTCTTTTCTTATTTAATAGGTGTTCAGATTCAACCACATTGTTCTATGTCACTGTAAAATCATTTTGACTACTCTGTAATATTCCAGTATGAGTATATACAAGTTTATGTATCTATTCTTTTCTGATAAACATTTGAACCTTTTCAAATTTTACTCCTGTGAACAATTCTATGAACATTTTTTTTTTTTTTAAGATGGAGTCTCGCTCTGTCCGCCAGGTTGGAGTGCATTGGCACAGTCTCGGCTCACTGCAACCTCTGCTCCCAGGTTCACGCCATTCTCCTGCCTCAGCCTCCCAAGTAGCTGGGACTACAGGCACCCACCACCATGCCCGGCTAATTTTTTTTTTGTATTTTTATTAGAGACGGGGTTTCACCATGTTAGCCAGGATGGTCTCGATCTCCTGAACTCGTGATCCATCCGTCTTGGCCTCCCAAAGTGCTTGGATTACAAGCGTGATCCACTGTGCCGGGCATGAACATTCTTATACATGTCTTTTCTTTATTTGTCATAATTTTGAATTTAATATTGAAACTTTATAACACAAGTATTTATGATCTTACTGAATTTTAAAATAGTAATTTTTTTTTTTTTTTAGAGACAGAGTCTGACTCTGTCACCCAGGCTGGAGTGCAGTGGCGCAGACTTGGCTCACTGCAACCTCTGCCTCCCAGGTTCAAGCAATTCTTGTGCCTCAGCCTCCTGAGTAGTTGGGACCACAGGTGCCGCCACCATGCCAGGCTAATTTTATATTTTTAGTAGAGGTGGGGTTTCTCCATGTTGGCCAGGCTGGCCTTGAACTACTGACCTCAGTGATCTACCCATCTCAGCCTCCCAAAGTGTTGGGATTACAGGCATCAGCCACTGTGCCTGTCCTAAAATAGTAATTTTTATAATTAAATTGTTACTGAGTAATTTATTGATTTAATACAGCATATTTTACTTAATCAGCTCACTGTTGTAATTTGTGGGTAGTTCTAAATTTTTCCTGTTATAAATAATTGTGTGTTGAACATCTTTGTACTTAGTGTTTCACATGTGGGAGGGTCCAATCATCATCCATATGAATTACTGGCATCAAGATGGAGATTACAAATAATACATAAATGCTAAGATTATGAGAATGTTGTATGAGTTATTTTGCCTCAGCTGCACAATAAGAATATGCTTTGTTAACTGTTACTCTATTGACACTATGTTATTCTAGAGACACTATGCTATTGTGATCATAAAGACATGTAACATAATGCACTATAATTTTTTTCTTTCAATAAACAATAGATTAATTCAGTTATGCAGTCAAAAAGGATCTTACTGACACACATTTGATGAAACTCAATTTGAAAAACTAACCTTCCTTGTGTGAATGAATATAATCTGTGAGCTGGAAATGGCTCAAAGCTCTCTAGAGTAGAACTAATTTAAAAGTTTATTTGACTTGAGATCTGTGTATGCATGTTGTAAAAAGGAGGCATAATTAACTTGATTCAGATCAAATAAAATGAGATACATAGGGCAGTGAATAACTTTCTTTTCGCTAAATTTGAGAGTCCTGTTCTTGATCTCATCTCATTGACTCAGCTTCCTCCCAGGAGCACCTTGTCACTATTTACAAGCAGATTGGGGAAAACTAACAAGGTTCTCTACTTCCTTCTTCACACCTTGAGCCTTCTAGCCATTGTTCTTTATCTAAGCCAGAAGTTGACAAGAACTACTCTATCATTTTTTTTGACTATTTTTTAATGACATAGTACTTACAATAAAACAAACATTTATAATAGCTCTCCTTATAGATGAGCTCTATCTATATATCCTTATAGATGAGTCCACCCTATCCAATTGCCGCTATTTAGAAGTTGAAGAGATGTTTATTTCCTAAACTGTCCTAGAGTTGGTGTGGAAACTATATGAAGAAGGAGAAAATGAAGATGCTGTTTTCTTAGGTTAGCATTAGTTCTGCATTGCTCCATGCCTCCGTTGTTCAAAGGCCATATGGTGGATAAAATCCTGTATACTTTCTATTGACAGTGTTCATTCTTGGTTAACAGAAGGAGGCCTGAAAGCTTACAAAAACCATTTCTAAAATAAGTGACAGCCATTAATTTTATATTATGTAAAAAATTAGTGACAAACTACAAAGACATAATAAAATTGCACAGATTATACTCAAATAATTTATTATCAGAATTCTTATGTCTGAAAATTGTCATTGAGGAGCAAACTGTTTAAAATTTGACACTATGTAATAAAGCATGTAATTGAAAATGAATAAAAAACACAGAGCATTGAACATGAATAAAAACCATAGAGCATTGCAGCCATGTATAGACCTTAAAACCATCTTTTATTCTATTAAAATATGAAAGGGAGAGAAGAGCTTCAAGATGGCTGACTAGAGGCACCTGGTACTCACCTCCTCCACAAAGAAGAACCAAAATAATGAGTAGATATTAATCACACTTCTAATAGATGATCTAAGGGAGAACACTGGAGTTTAACAAAGAAGTGCCAGCAAACACCTACAGCAAGGAAGGAAAGGGAAGGAGGCAGCCTGCTCTGCTGGGATCAACTGGGAACCAGGAGGGGCTCCCTAATGCAGGGAAAGGCTGAAGAAATCATACAGAGACTACACTACTACACACACCTGGAATCAAAGCCAAAGTACCCTACCCGACCAACACCACAGATACAACTTCAGGAAAAAGTACTCCCCTATGAAAGCAAATCCAAAAAATTGGAAGAAGCAACTGTTACACCAGATGCACAGATATCAAAGTAAGGACACAAGAAACATGAAAAAGCAAGGAAATATAACACCTCCAAGGGAGCAAATAATTCTCCAGCAACAGATTCCAATGAAAAGAAAAAGCATGAAATCCCTCCAAAAAGAATTTAAGATAATGATACTAAAGAATCTCATGAGATACAAGAGAATGCAGAAAAACAATACAAAGAAATTAGAAAAACAATTCAGGATATGAATGAGAAATTTGAAAGAGATAGATTTCATTAAAACAATCAAATGTAGATTTCTGTGTTAAAAAGGAATGTTCACATTTTCTTAAAATTAATTTTGAAATAACATCTTTTAGTGTTTTTCAATATAGCAAATATTAGGTAGGTAGAAAGTGAAAACTCCACAATAATAATATTTAATACTCTGTGTAAACTATGTGAATAAAATAGTTATTAGTAATTCTTTTGAGTCTTGTATCTATTAATCAGCATAACACATCTCTGCATAATTTACAGTTTAACAGAAAAGCAGGAACTAAATTATACCACCTTAGTTTACAAAAATACAGAAAGAAAAGTATTAACCTAAATAAAACTAACAATAGCATGTCATGTAATTAGAAGAAAAGCTAAAGATTTTTTCAGCATCTGAAGTAGTTTTATAAAAATGATAAGTTATTCAAGTTGTAAGCAATTTAATATAATCTGAATATAATCAGAGGCCCAAAATTAATTGAAAAGTTGTATAACCCATATCTTTGTTTTCAAGAAAAAAAATTCTTGATATTACAAAGCAAAATTGAAATATTTTAAAGTGATTTCAAAATGAGGATACTAGAAAGTGAGAAATTAAGACAGAGAACCCCTTCATTGTTCATACAACTTCACGTACGCACACACGTTCATACTGTTGTGGTGAGAAATTATGCCATTTCAGCTATTCCTAATAATATTCTCATTTGGCGGATTTAAGTCAGCACCTTAATATCATTCTAGAATAATTTTTATGGTATAATACAAAATGATTTTAGGTTAGATTTTGGTAGAAAATAGCCAAGGCCCATTTGGCTGCTACTTTTCTTGGAAGAGAAAAAAATAAAAGCTTTATCTTAATTAAAGTTTAATTAAGGATCACGTTTGGCAGTACTTTTCACACCGATCTACACCAGCAGATTTTCTAGGGCTTAACTTTATCGTGCAGAAAATCCTCTTTTATTACTCCCAACCTGTTGTAAAAGCTGTTGGCACAGAGAGCTGGTTGCTTCATTCAGATGCCTTGTTTGCCACTGGAAATATCCCAAGTCTCTAGAGATAGCACCACAGTGGTTCAATTTAATATCTGTCCTATCACTACAAGACTCCAGCTCATTATTAATGATACTATTCATTAATTTCTTGTTGGGCTGATGTTGTTATTTATTAAAATATTAAAGAATGCCCCTGGGACACATGCATAATGAGGGACACCTCAGTTTCATAAGCGATACCAGCTGAAGGAATGAATGAACACACTACAGCTTTACCCACCCTACGCTGCACCATTCCTCCCTCATTAGTCCTGCTACATCTCTGAGTGACACTGTAAATTCATTTTGTGCTCTGTCCAATCAGAGCTTAATACAAATGCAGGGCCCTTTTTTTTTAATGAGCCATTCCTATGCAAAATGAATTGACTACTGTCTAACTCATCTAATCCGCCTGTATTTTGGGGAAGAACTAAATTGCCTGTGTTTATATGGGAAATAAATAAAAGTTGACATATTTTTTTCCTTTTCAGTCTTACATTTGGAAAATTTCAACATAATAAATTCTCCATCTTAAGAACCTGCCACCTTAGTTAACTAAATCCCAGCATGACATTTAAACATGTGATCGTCGTATTTAAAAAAGCCTAAACAAGCAGTTTGTACATGGCAGTGGTCATTTGATGTGTGTTTGCACATGCATTCAGGTGCAGACTACAGAAATTCTGAGGATGCTTGATGTATTTGCTCACCCTTTTAATACATGGGTATTTAAAGACATTCTTTGAGTGTGCTAAAATGTATATGGTAGTATAAAAGAGAAAATATGTGAAATGTTATAACATTTTCAACTATGTAGGGAATAAATATTAAAATATTTTTATTAGAGAAGAAAAATCTTATTTTTTGATGCCCCTGCTTGTCACTGAATGTACAGAGTGAAATCTGCATAACAATTGAGGTAGCATCTGAAGGTAAAGTTTTAATTTGTTCTATATGGTTGTTATTTTCTCTCCTGTGCAAATAATTACTCTGGTGAAGAAATACCACACTGTTTTGAGGGGATTAACTGGGCATAATTGCAGCCTGTTTTGATCCCTCTTTTAATAATGGATTCTTTCAATCTATATCTGGTAGAGCAGCTTTGTAGGGATAGTTTAAAAGCTCTTATAGATGCCTATGCAATCTTTATATTGTGAACTTCTACCGGTTTGTTTCTGAGCAAAAAAAGCCTTTGTATTTATATGGTAACATGGAAGCTGTACGTTGCAAATCTTAACCCATATTTGCCTAAAACAATAAATTATGGTTGTTTTAAACTCTTCCAATGGCTTTTATTTCAGTATACACTATAGATTATATTCTGTTGAAAGTAGAGTTTATAGCATGTTTTATTTTGAAATATTAATTTTATAAAATAATTTTTCCTAACGAGTGTACAGGTGTTCCAAATCTTTTGCAAAAATAAAGTACGTTAAATAGGCTGCAAAATCTTTCAATTGTTTAAGTTTACAAATCTTGAACTATTAGTGACCTGATTTTAATACTTTAGTATATTGGCTTCATAATCATGTCTTACAAAGGTACTGGTTATGAGGCCATATTTTTTCCAAGTCCTGATTAAGATAGACGATAACATCCTGTTTTAATTTATTGGTATTAATCTTATTAAAGAAGGGCATGGGAGTTTATTTTTTTCAAAGCGACTGGAACCATAATGACCAAGAGATTTTCAAGGCAGCAGGTCAGAATGATTTAATGAAATTTTAACACTGAAAAAAGGAATTAAAGAATTTCCTTAAGCATATATGTGTGTGTGTATATACTTAATATGTATATCACATACATATATAAATACATATATATATATAGAGAAGCTGATATATATACATAGCATATATATAAATAGAGGCTGAAAAGGTAAAATTTGAGGGGAACATAATCAAATTTTAACAAAATCATGAGTGCAAAGAAGATTATGTTTTTACACAATCTCTGAAAAGTAAAACTTGGCCGTTTTGCAAGGATGTTTTATGTCAAATCGAATGATAGTAAAATAGAAAAAAAAAGTGTTACTATAACTCCTCCTGGAAAGTGAGCTGCATTCTTTATGGAAATGAATGCTTTCATACTTTGAAACCTGTTCAAAGACCTTGGAATGGAAAGTAAAACAAAGAGGGCTCCAGATCAGTGGAAAAACATTTAGTGTGATATTGGACTTGAAGATTGAGGGTAGGTGGAGAGGGAGAAAAATGTGTTTATTTCTTTGGAGAGGGAGATAGTAGAAAAATGTGATAGAAAGAGGATCTGCTGATGATTGAGCCATTCCCCTTCCTCTCAAGGTCAGTAAAACCTTCTAATATCACCATATGATTGGTGTGAGAAGATCTTGGGGTGGAAATCAGTGAAAGGCTTATCTTCAGGAAAGGTATAACAGTTTATGCAGATATGGGAATTCTAAAATAGAGAGAATCTATGGAACTGGGAGTTGAAACCAAAATAATAAATTGTTTTATTTAACTCCCAGCCACAGCAGGATGACACACAAATTCCTATAGGAACCCATTCTCATCTATACTTTTCAGTCTAACAAGCCCTCTAATTTACAGATAATGAAAAACACATTAAGAAATTAAATGGCACATCTAATTATGCGCTAGTTACTGTAGTTAGTGTAATTTCTACTCTACCATGTTTTCACAGAGTGGTTATAGGCTCTTAATGCTGAGAAGTAGTACAGAATTAAACTGTATAGTCCAGAAGATCAGAGATAAAATCATGCATAAAATTATATATGCATAATGGACAACACAGTTTCAGGATTTATTTAAACAAGTATGACTAACATCATAGGAAGTAGTTAGATATTATGACAAGAATTTCCTTGAATCTCTCTCCCAGAGACAAATGCTTTGCATGCATTGACCAGTGGAATATTCTTGGATTCTTATGCTACTTTGATTACTTGATATGAGAAAATATTCATTAACTACACCATATAGTTAACATTTTGAAGGATTAAATAATAAAGACAAGTTTCTTCAGGAGTTATGAGGAAAAGAAACATAATAATTTATCACTGAGATTACCTTTAAAATTCCAAGTTAAAGTATCTACTTAGTGGATATTATCATCATTAAATGACTACAGTTAGATTTTGAGAATCATATTTTAGGCTTTGCAAGTGTGCAATATCTTGAGATTTCTTTTGCAATGTAATCTTAAGCCTTTGGATTAAGAAGCAGAAGTGGAATGTACTGTTTGTTTAAGTAAATTAGTCAACATTTTTGTTAATTTTCATAGAATCAATTTAAATAGTTGATCTTAAAAATATAATGCAAAGAGTAAACATTCTGCATGCAATTATTTAATATTATTTTTAATATAGTTTAAAGAGGATAGATCAAATTTTCAACCATCTCTTCATTGTCTTTTATCACACCTATCTTAAATAGTTTTCGGCAACCAATCATTATTGCTTACCATCTTTCCAATACTAAGTTAATATTTGTATTCCCCAAAATGATTCGTGCGGGATAGGGAGAGCTTAAAGTATATTGTTTAGAAGAGTTATTTGAATCAAGTATCTGTTTTTTCAGTTCCTCGGAATATTAAACTAAATAAAATAATCTCTTTTTTTCCTAGCCATATCTTCATATGCATATTTAGAAGTGAGTTATTTTTGTACTATATTTTATACAGATTTTCTATACAAACTGAGGAGTTTTTAAAACTTTAGTAAAAATGGCTATTTAAAAAGTGAATGAAAAAGGCAATTTATAATCTATAATTCTCTGAAAAGAAAGGGAATCTTAGACTGCAACTTTGTCTCTGCTTTTCTAGAAACCGAATCTAACAATGACAATTCAAAGGAAAAGCTTACTTTAAAAATAAGATTAAAAGGATAAACTCTGTCACAGACATGTGGAAAACTATTTTGTTCTTTGGTATAGAAGAGGGAGAATGAAATTTTATAATCCTGTGCTTAGAAAACAAGTGCCCTGCCAGCTTTGTCGAACAGCAGATGGTTGTAGATTGGCTCTGTATCCTGTTCCATTGGTATATGTGCCTGTTTTTGTACCAGTACAATGCTGTTTTGGTTAGTGTAGCTTTGTAGTATAGTTTGAAGTCAGGTAACATGATGCTTCCAGCTTTGTTCTTTTTGCTGAGAATTGCCTTGGCTAATTGGGCTCTTTTTCAGTTCTATATGAATTTTAAAATAGTTTTTTTCTAATTCTGTGAAATATGTCATTAGTAGCTTGATAGGAATGGCATTGAATCTGTAAATTGTTTTGGGCAGTATGGCCATTTTGATGATATTTATTCTTCCTATCCATGACCATGGGATGCTTTTTTATTTGTTTGTGTCTTCTCTGAGCTCTTTGAAGAGTGTTTTAAAATTTTCATTGTAGAGATATTTCACCTCCCTGGTTAGCTGTATTCTTAGATATTTTATTACTTTTGTGACAGTTGTGAATTACACTGCCTTTCTGATTTGGCTCTTGATTTGGTGTTGCTGTTGTATAGGAATGCTAGTGATTTTTGTACATTGATTTTGTATCCTGCAACATTGCTGAAGTTATTTATTGTCTAGGGGAACTGTGGGGCCACAACTATGGGTTTTTTTAGATAAAGAATCATGTTGTCTATAAACAGGGATAGTTTGACTTCCTCTCTTCCTCTTTGGATGTCTTTTATTTCTTTCTTTTGCCTGATTGCTCTGGCTAGGACTTTCAGCTTTTGCCCCTTTAGAATGATGTTGGCTGTGGGTTTGTCATAGATGGCTCTTATTATTTTGAGGTATGTTCCTTTAATGCCTAGTTTATTGAGAGTTTTTTAACCTGGAAGGGTGTTTAATTTTATCAAAGGCCTTTTCTGCATCTATTGCGATAATCATGTGGTTTTTGTCTTTAGTTCTATTTATGCAATGAATCACATTTATTGATTTCCATATGTTGAACCAACCTTGCATCCCTGGGAAGAAGCCTACCTGATCATGGTGGATTAGCTTTTTGATGTGCTGCTGGATTAGGTTTGCATTTTGTTGAGGATATTTGCATCAATGTTCATCAAGGATATTGGCCTAAAGTTCTTTTTGTTGTTGTGCCTCTGTGAGGATTTGGTATCAAGATGATGTTGGCCTTATACAATGAGTTGTGGAGGAGTCCTCCCTCCTTAATTTTTTGGAATAGTTTCTGTAGGAATGCTACCAGCTCTTCCTTGTATGTCTGGTAGAATTTGGCTGTGAATCCATCAGGTCCTGGGCTTTCTTTGGTTGGTAGGCTATTTATTACTGATTTAATTTAGCAGCTCATTATCAGTCTGTTCAGGGAATCAGTTTCTTCTTGGCTCAGTTTTGGGAGGGTGTATGTGTCCAGGAATTTTTCCTTTTCTTCTAGGTTTTCTAGTTTGTGTGTGTAGAGGTGTTCATGGTATTCTCTGATGGTTTTTTGTTTTTCTGTGAGGTCAGTGGTAATATCTGCTAACATGGTTTGGCTCTGTGTTCCCACCCAAATCTTATGTCTAATTGTAATTCCTAGTGTTGGGGGAGGGACCTGGTGTGAGACAATTGGATCATGGAAATGGATTTCCCCCTTGTTGTTCTTGTGAGTGAGTTCTCATGAGATCTTGTTTTTTGAAATTGTGTAGCACTTCCCCCCTAGCCCTCTCTCTCTCTCCTGCTCCGCCATGGTAAGATGTGCTTGCTTCCCCTTCACCTTCTACCATGATTGTAAGTTTCCCAGCTATGCTTTCTGTACAGCCTACAGAACTGTGAGTGAATTAAACCTCTTTTCTTCATACATTACCCAGTCTCATGTAGCTCTTTATAGCAGTGTGAGAATGAACTAATATCCCTCTTGTCGCTTTTGATTGCATTTATTAGAATCTTCTCTCTTTTGTCTTTATTAGTCTATTTTATTAATTTTTTTTTTTAAAAAACAGCTCCTGGATTCTTTATTTTTTGAATTTTTTTTCACATCTTGATTTTCTTCAGTTGCACTCTGATTTTTGTTGTTTCTTAGCTTCTGCTAGCTTTGGGGTTGATTTGTTCTTGCTTCTCCAATTCTTTCAGTTGTGAAGTTAGGTCATTCATTTGAGATCCTTCTAACTTTTTGATGTGTGCATTTCATACTATGAATTTCCTCTTAACACTGACATAGCTGGGTTCCAGAGATTCTGGTATGTTTTATTTTTGTTCTCATTATTTTCAAAAAGGTTCTTTATTTCTCCTTTAATTTTGTTATCTACCCCAAAGTCATTCAGGAGCATGTTGCTTAATTTCCATGCAATTGCATGGTTTTCATAGTCTTGAGTGATTTTTAGTGCCTTGGTTTTGAGTGATTTTCATAGTCTTGACTTTTTTTTTTATTGTGCTGTGGTCCAAGAGTGTGTTTAGTATAATTTCAGTTCTTTTACAATTGTTGATAATTGGTTTATGTCCAACTATGATGTCAGTTTTAGAGTATGTGCCATATGGTGATGAGAAGAATGTATATTCTGTTGTGTTTTTTTGGGGGGGCGGGGTGTGGAGAGTTATGTAAAGGTCTATCAGATCCATTTGGTCCAGTGCTGAGTTTAGGTCCTGAATACCCTTGTTAATTTTCTGTCTCGATTATCTATTTAACACTGTCAGTGGAGTGTTGAAATCTCCCATTTTATTGTGTGGGAGTCTATGTCTGCTTGTAGATCTCTCTAGACCTTGCTTTATGAATCTGGGTGCCCCTGTGTTGAGTGCATATATATTTAAGACAGTTAGGTCTTCTTGTTGAATTGAACTCTTTACTATTATGTAATGTCCTTCTTCGTCTTTTTTTATCTTATCTTTGACAAAGCTGATAGAACAAGCAATGCAGAAAAGACTCTCTAGTCAGTAAAATGGTGCTGGGATAAATGGCTAGCCATATGCAGGTGATTGAAGCTGGATTACTTCCTTACATCATATAAAAAATCAACTCAGGATTGATTAAATACTTCAGTGTAAAACCCACAACTGGATATAAAAATCCTGATAGACAACCTAGGAAATACCATCCTGGACATAGGAACAGGCAAAGATTTCTGGACAAAAACATCAAAAGCAATCAATCACAACAAAAGCAAAAATTGACAAGTGGGACCTAATTAAGCTTAAGAGCTTCTGCATTGCAAAAGAAACTCAATTGAGTAAACAGACAAACCTACAGAATGGGAGAAAATATTTGCAAACTATGTATCTGACAAAAAGTCTAATATCCAGCATCTATAAGGAACTTAAGTAAATTTACAAGAGAAAAACAAATCTCTTAAAAAGTGGGCAAAGGACATGAACAGACACTTCTCAAAAGACAACAATCATGCAGCCAACAAGCATATGAAAAAAAAGCTCAATATCATTGATCATTAGTGAAATGTAAATCAAAACCACAATGTGATACCATCTCACACCAGTCAGAATGTTTATTAGTAAAAATAAAGGAAATCACAGATAGTGGTGAGGTTGCAGAGAAAAGAAAACACTTATAAGCTGTTGTCGGGAGTGTAAATTAGTTCAACCATTGTGGAAAGCAGTATGATGATTTGACCCAGCAGAACTTCCACTTGACCCTGAAATCCCATTACTGGGTGTATACCCAGATGAATATAAATCATCTACCATAAAGACACAATTTTCATTGCAATATTATTCACAAGAGCAAATACATGGAATCAACCTAAATGCCCATTTATTTATCTGACAGATTGGATAAAGAAAATGATACACATATACCATGGAATACTATGCAGCCATAAAAAAGAATGACATGATATCTTTTGTAGGAGCATGGATGGAGCTGGAGGCTATTATTCTGAGCAAACCAACACAGAACAGAAAACCAAATACTGCATGTTCTCACTTTCAACTGGGAACTAAACGTTAAGAACTTATGAAAACAAAAAAGGAAACAACAGAAACTAAGTCTCATTTTGGGTGGTAGGGCATGGGAGAAGGGAGTGTAGCAGAAAAGATAACTATTGGGTACTGGTCTTAATACTTGTGTGATGAAATAATATGTACCACATACCCCTATGACACATGTTTACCTGTGTAACAAACCTTCACGTGTACCCCCAAACCTAAAATAAAAGTTAAAAAAAAAGAAATACCATGGAAGCACTATAATGAAAGTGATAATTTATCAATAACTTATTTAAAGAAATGAAGTTGTCTTTAAAATATGTACCTATGTACACACACATACATCTTAGAAAAGAAGGCAAATTTGTCTTTTAATTTTAATCTGCAACTATCATCTAGAGAAAACTTACTTCTAAGATTTGTAAATACAATACTATTTTTCTAGTTTTCAAAGAAAAGCATGGTTATACGTCGTAAAAATTCTGAAGTTTAGTCTGTCAGTATCCGTAAATCAATAGCTGTTCAAGTCTCCCTTACTGGAGTAAATTCAGCTATTTCTCTTTATCCTTTTGTGCATCTGATTACTCTTGACTTGGAATGACCTAACAAAAAAAATTGGTAAACTTTGAGTTGAAGTTGTACAGTTGCTATTGTTTGCTTTTTTAAAAAAAAACACTTTTAAAGAGGTCTTTTTTTGTACTTATAAAAATGCTGTCTCTAAGATAAGCTATTTTCTTTGCAAGCATCATCCAGAGGCAAATATGATCATTTCCGTTTTCCAAAAATGTACCCAGAGACATAAAAATACTATTTGTACCGTAAGATGGAAAAGGAGCATTGCCTTGTTACAGTCAGATTCCAAGCTGGGGTTTAGCCCAGTGTCTTGGCTCTGACCACTGTAGCAAGTAACCATGTGTGGAAGGGCATGATTGTTCATGGTCACAACTTCAAAAGTTACTCTTTTTGAAACTCTCTTATTTTTTAGAGCTCATTAAGAGTTTGTCACTTATTTTTTTTTGTATTATTTACGGGGGCAGAAAAGGCAGAAGTAGTGAGCTCTTAAAACCAAGTAAAGAAATGCTTTCTTAAATTTATATTTACCAATTTTAAGAATGTATCTAGGACTTTGTGAATAAACTTTTCTTTGCAATAGCCATGCAGGTGGTGCCTATTTTTCTTTCTATTTCCTAAGAAACATTAATCTTTTAGGAATACCTGAGATGTATGGGCAGATTTGGGGAAATTATATATGTGAATATAATTATATATGGGGAAATTATATATGTGTATATATATGTGCGTGTGTGTGTGTATGTATATATATATATACACACATGCATTTATACATATTCATATGTTAACTCATTCTGAATTACTAACATTATATTTTGATTACAAGTAAAACTAGATCCGTTTCTGGTTGGAATACAGAAAAGTTACAGCAAATCTGTACTTTCAAAACTAGGAAACTATACTATCATGTAAGTTAAAAGGCATAGAAAACTGTGGTTATAAGAAATCTAAAAGACCTCAATTCCATAGAGGAAGATAGATGGATAAATATATATTAGTAGCCACTGTTTTTTGCTGGTTGCATTAGTCACTTTGGGCATCAGTGACATAAGTGAGCAGAATGTGGAGCTCCCTTTGGCTGAGGGATTGTATGTGAGAAGAAATCAGTGACATTTTAGTGAGCACGCTGACCAGTGTGACCACTGGAATCTCAGGACCCCTTAACTCACTGATCGTGCCCCCACTCATCACCATCAGTTTTCCCTTAAAGATTTTGTTGGGTGTGAAAGACTAAGGAGCTAGCCTGGAAAGGCAGAGAAAAAAACTCCCACAGACTAATGATGGTTAGGAGACAGTTCTTCTTGTAAAGGGGACCAGCAATAAAACACAAGAATGTTCATGCCCTCAAAACATTTTAACGTGAGGTAAATGATACTAAATAATACTGCAAACCAGCCTCAACACAGCTCAGTTCTCAAATACATCCAGGCGATCAGCCTCTTACCCTACCTGCCTTATGAGAACAGGACACGCCTTGCCTGGGGAAAAATATATATCAAATTACCTACCATTTTCAAAATACAGAATCTGTGGCATGTAATCAAAACTATGAAATATATGGAAAGATGCGAGATCATGTGAACCATATAATGCAGAGAAAAATTATTTTATAGAAGCAGAAACACAAATGATACAAACACTGTAATCCCAGACACGTAACTCAAAATAGCTACCATAGATTTGTAATAGAAAATAAAGAAAAAAATGGAAAATGAAAGAATGATAAAAAAATTCAACAGCATATTGGAATCTTGAAGGAAAAAGAACTTGAGGACATTCTAGAAACAAAAATAAAATACCTGAAATGAGTTAATTGGATAAGCTTACAACAACTGAATGCGGCAGAAGAAATGCCCAGTTAACTCAAAGAAAGAGATTTAGTCTGTAGTAGAGAGAGAAAACAAAGAAAGAAAAAGCAGCAGAAAAGAATGTCAGAGATGTGAGACTTTGCCATGTCATCTAACATGTATAATTGAAGACCCAAAAGGAAAGAAGAGAAAGAACAGAAGTAATTTTGATAAAATTATTACCAAAAATTTCTTTAAAACTGATACAAAGAATCCAATCTCCATATTCAAGAAGTTTAGCAAACCCCAAGTAAGATCAATCCAAAGAAATTCATACCTAGGTACATCATAGTGTAATTGCTAAAAACAGAAGTTAAAGAGAAAACCTTACAAGCAGCCAGAGGAAAAAGATATAATATTTACAGGGGAGCAACAATGATTAAAGACTTATTTCTAAATACAAACAATGGAAGCCAAAATTATAATGGAATACTAACTCTAAAGTTGTAAGGCAAATAATTGTCAGATTAGAATTCTATATTCATTGAAAACCACTGAAAAATGGAATCAAATAAAGATATTTTTAGAAAGATTAGGAAAATTCATTGCCAGAAGACTCATATTATAGGAAATACTACAGGAAAATTTTCAGGTTAAAAAAAATGTTCTAGATAAGAGCATGGGACTGCAGGAGTACGGTAAATATTTGGGTAAATATTAAAGATGCTTAAAACCTTTTTAAAGAAATTTACTCTTTAATGCAACAAAAAAGATGATGGATTTTAGGACATATAACATACATAGAGGTAAAATATAGCATCCAACAGCACAGATTATAAGAGAAGAGAATAAATAGAAGTATGCTATTGGTATGTTCTTACCTTATTTATAAAGGAGTAAAACACTTCTTTATGTAGACTCTAATTAGTTAAAAATGTATATTGTAATCTCTAGAGTAGCTAATTAAAAATACAAAAAGTTGAAGCTAAAAAGCCAGTAGAGGATTTAAAATGGAATTGTAAAAAAGTTCTTTATTAACTTAAAAAAACAAGAAAAGAGAGAATAAAGAAGCCACGTGAAACGTGTGCAAACGTGAAAACAAATAGAACATATTTAAACCTAACTGTACAAATTACAACATAAAGTTTTAATAAAAGTTTCAGTTTAAAAAATTGTCACGCAGTATAAAATAAAACCCAAATATAATATACATGTATTATAATTCCAAAGTAAAAGCATGGCAAAACCTATATTGCCCTATGTTAATATTGGATCAAGTAAACTTTAAGTCAAAGAGAATTATGAAAGATAACAGAAGACATTTCAAAGTGGCAAATGGGTCAATTCATTCATGGAGTCCCAAGTATTCTAAATGTATATGCAATTAACATCCTAACTTCAAAGTCTATGAAGGCAAATTGGGAAAATAGACAAAAAAGATGTAGACAAATTCCTAATAATAGTTGAAGACATATCTCTCAGTAATTTTTAGAACAAGTGGACAATTATGGAAGTTTATAGAACATCTGAATAATATTAATAAAACTGAACTAATTAACATTTGTATAGAACATTATGTGCAACCACTACAAAATATATGGGCATGTAGAATTTTCACCAAAATAGGCCACATGCTAGGCCATAAAGCAAGTGTCAGATCATTTGTTGGATAGTATCTACAGAGAATGACCCACAAATGCTCCTTAAACGCTGGACGGGGAGGGCAGTTAGAGAAGGCCTCACAGGCCAGCTGTCTCCATCATCTCCATGGATCTCTCACGTTTCATATTGGGCTAGGCTGTTTTGGATAGTTTCTCTTTAGCCCCTCACTCCAGGAAGGAATACTTGCAGACTGAAGGAATCATACTCCATCTTACTTCCAGGTGTTTGTACCCTGTGCACCCTCAACTTCCCTCTTATTTTTTGCTTGGGAAATTTGTTCTTACTTTTGAGGACATACCTTAATTCCTCTTCATTAGGGAGTTTCCTTGTCACCCAAAGCTGTAATGCCTTGCTGTGCATTTTCAAAACACCCTGTACTTATGTTTAGCATAGTTCTCATTAAATTAGGTTTTATTTTTACCTTTCTGACACCCAGGTTTAAACAAACCTATATTTTTTCATGTCTTGAGAACAGAAACTACGTTCTTAATATTTTGTCTACAGTGCATGGCACGATAAAGTTTTTGCATTACAGTGATTAAGAATAAATAAAAGTGTTTATGAGTATCAATATAAAGAGTCAGTATTACCAGAAAAGATAGTTTCTTTTTTCTACCTTTTCAGTTAAGTGTCTCTGTTGTCTTGAACAGCAATAACTTTTCATTGAAACTGCAACAAAGAGACTTGTTTCATTTTAATGATTGTGCAGAACATACATACTGTTCCAGCTCATTTTTACTTGAACTGAGAACTGTCATCTTCCCTTCTCTATTTGTCAAATATTTATTGAGAGTTCAACATGTGCTAAGCATGGTATGGCCTGATGGAGGGAGAGGATTAAAACTAAATCAGAATATTTTGTCTCCTTAAATATATTATAATCAAGTAATGGATATAACACATGCATATAAGCAGTTCTATTATAACATAAAAAATTGTCATTAGGTATAATATAGTTCTATAGAAATTCTAGCAAAGAAGGAATCTGATTAATTACTCAAATGTTGGGTGGTCAAGGAAGGCTTCATAGGGGAATGTACATTTCACATGATCTTTTTAGAAAAAATGGGATTTGGGCACAGTGAGATAGGGAAGAAGGACATTCAAGGTCAATGAACTATTTGAGCAAAGGCACAGAGATGATAAATCAAGATGTGTGAAAGAGAAATTTTTCAGTTGTCTGAATTACAGGGTGGAAATAATTCATTGAAACAAAGATTGGAATTGTGCAATTGATATCAGTGTGACAGTCCAGATTTTATTATGCTTGTGGATATTAGATGAGGATATCTTGCATTTTCTAAAACTAGATAATTTACTATAGTCTTTCCAAGTTATATGGAGTATATGTGGAGATTGACTGTTGCTTCTCTTTAGTATATAGGTTC
Organism: Homo sapiens; assembly: GCF_000001405.40. Classification (NCBI taxonomy): domain Eukaryota; kingdom Metazoa; phylum Chordata; class Mammalia; order Primates; family Hominidae; genus Homo; species Homo sapiens. The sequence continues at coordinate 155,933,965 of NC_000002.12, read as the reverse complement.
CCAGAATAGCCTCCCGAAAGTTCAAACTTAAAATTTAAAAACATAACCTTCCAACCTTGGGAAGCTGTTTTTAAAGAACAGTGCTAACCTTTTGGTTAGGCATTTCTTCTATTATTTCTATTATTTCTATATGAATTTGATATGGTATCCCAAGAATATTTTTAGAATCATACTTCTTTAAATCTGAAGTATGCCTTGTAAAACATTTCCTGAGGGTTGATGTGTACGCCACAGTGTCAATAAAGTAGCAATTTCACATAAAGAACTAGGCAGCTGCAAACTGAATAAATTGTTAATGCTTTTTGACCTGAGTTTGTTTTTCTATGTAAAATCTGGAGGAAACAGTTTTAGAAGAGAAATAAAAAATGTGATTATTATAATTGAATGTTTCTGAACTGCTACTGTTAAGATTTCAGAGAATCTGTTGTGAGGGTTAATAACTCTTGGAAAGGGGAAAAACTTTTATATCCTCAACAATGTGCAGAACTGTGAAATGTTTCCAAGGGTAATTTCCTTGAAGTTAAAGTTGGGATTATTTAGGTTCACTTAGCAGATAAAGTTTGCTACAATGTTTTGGAACTCTATGATAAGATGACAAGATTTCTCATTTATAAAACCTGGACAGATTATTAGAGGGCCACAAGCCACACTCCAGGGACACTTCCAGATTTTTCCTTTTACATAGAGTCCAATTGAAAAAGAATTGGAGAATGTTCAAGCTGAATATTACATAAGTAATCCTCTTGGATCCTTTACTCATCTTTTTTTTTTTTTGTCCAAATAGTTAATTTTGATGAGCTCCATGAAACCTGTGAAACTGTGAAAATGTCATTATTAACCAGATTCAGGCTTTAAGTATAATTTCTATTTATCAAAATTTAGTGCTAATTTGTATAGGAATACTTGGAATAAATACTAATTTTTGAAGTCTTCTAATGTAGACAGATTTGTCTCATAAAGAACAATACTTATTTTTTTAATTAAAAGGGACCATTTCAGTGGAAAGTCATTTTAATGTGACAATGATTTTCAGATATTAGAATCAATTGGATCACACTTTAAAAAATTACATATAACTAGAAAAATTTAGATTGAAGTACATTCATAATAGTTGACTGAACTTCTAAAGTCTCACTAACTGGTCAACTAAACCAAGATTGGTTTGGAAGATTTCTCATTGATTCGTCTTAAGGAGGTGAAGAGCTTTCTCACAAATGGGATACTATGGCAAGTAGCATGTGGTTTTTCTTCAAGCTCAAGCATCAAAAGAAGATTAATTAGACTGCCACAATATTCTCATAAGAAAAACCACTTTATTAAGTAAATACATATTACCTTTTCCCATCTTTAAAATAAAGATATAATTTACATACAGTAACATTTGCCACTTTCAGTGTACAGTTGTGTGGGTTTTGATAATCATATATCGTTTTGTAATATCAAGAAATAGAAAAGTTTAATCATCTTGCAAACTTCTTACATGTCTCTTTTAGTCAACTTTTTTTCTCAACCCAGCCCCTGGCAACCACTGATATGTTTTCTATCCCTGAGTGTTTGGACAGTTCCAGAATATCATGCAGATGAAATCATAGTGCTAGACCTTTCAATTCTGGCTTTTCTCACTTAGCATAATACATTTGAGGTTTATCCATGATGTTGTTGCTGTAACAGTAGTTTTTACCTTGTCACTGCTGACTAATATTCCATTGTATATTATTTATTCAGTACCCATTTGAGTTGTTTTTCTTTCTAGTTTTTGATAATTATAAGGAAAATCATTTTAAATATTTGCATTCGTGTTTTTGTGTGAACATGTTTTTATTTCCCTGGGTTGCTAGGAGTGGGATGGCAAAGTTACATGATAAGTAAATGTATAACTTAAGGAATTACTCGTTTCCCAAAGGTGATGAACCATTTTGCATTTCCACCAGCAATGCGTGAGTGTTCCAGTTGCTCCACATTCTCACCAACTCCACATTCTGATGACATTTTTGTATTCTTATTATTATTGTTTAAATTTTAGCCATTATAAAAGTTTGGAATGCCATTTCCCTAAGGACTGACTGTGATGAGCTTCTTTCATGTGCTTATTTGCTCTACGTATTTCTTCTTTGAAAAGGTCCTGTTAAAATCTTTTCTCCATTTATTTTCTTTCAGTTTGTGTCTTATTGTTTTATGATTTTAGCACCATTTTGGAACTCAGAAGTACTTAATTCTGATGAAGCCCAATTTATTGATTTTTTAAATGAATTGGGAGCACACTACTTTTAACCACTTACTTTATAAAAGGCAAAGGACATTGCAGTTATTGTTTTCTGTTTTGTATGCAAAGAAAATATTCAGTATCTTTGATAACCTTAAGTTTTGATATTCTCAAGTTAATTTATTTGGTTGTGAGTATAGGGAAATATAATATTTTTTAAAATTATAAAATTATGTCTATATTGAATATTATTTTATTATTGTTTATATAACTGACTTGATAACAATATTATTCCAAATTACATTTGAAAATTTTAAAATTCTTTGGTTCAATTAATCATTTGTATTTTCTAGAAATTTTGGATTATTTAATATTGATCTTTAAATTTTAAGTAATCTCAATGCAATGAAAAAAAACTGGAATACTATTTTGAATATTTCAGGTGGTAAAAACACTATTAGGTTTTTGGTTAAGTTAAAATGAAAAATATCTCTCAGTAGGTCATCAACATATAATTCACTTTGATAATTATTTATTTATTTGTTTATTGCAAACAGTACTTCTAATTACTTATATTTAATACTATGTCTTCCTGAAGCTTTCAACCCAAAAACTGCACTGGAATTTTTAAGACTTCCATAGCCCCTTTCAACAAGAAAATAAAAAATTTCAACCATGATGATTCTATATTATCTGAAAATTCAACTTTATGAATTGAAGTTTAGTTTTATATTAATTTTCTGTCAGTATCCCAGATGTCAAGATTTCTGCCCCAGGAGCTTGTGGTTTTATTTGCTTGGAAACTATCTGACAATGAAGAGTTTGGGATTTCCCTGCCAGAATGCTAGACTTTAGCGTAACAGAGTGCAAAGTAGATACAAAAACTTTGTATAATGCATGATGTCCTCAGAGCAGTGTTCTTTCAAGTGTGTTAAAATAATACTTCTCTTATTAATATGTTGCAAAAGAAACTACAATTACCTGCTCAGATGAAGACTGCCCTGACTAGGTCCCTTTTACTGTCAGATAGAGTCATTTTTCAGCTACTATGAAGGTGGGTTACTAAGAGTTCACCACTATCCCCCTCCCCCTCCCCACTCTCTCTTTTTTTTTTTTTTTTTCCTGGAGAATTACCCTCTTTTTTTAAACAGGAGCTGTCTGACATAGGAGGTAGAATGTCCTACACTCCCAATCCAGGCAACACCTAACCAATGATTGACTGACAAAGGGTCATGTAGAGGCTAGCCACCTTGCCACAAAGCAGAACTAACTTTGTGGTGGAATTTGTGCTCTCTGAGGGGAGCTAACTGAAAGTAGTCTCCAGTTGATACAGTATTTTGCTCCGGGAACATTGCCTCAATAAATCATTTGCACTAGAATGCCTGTCTCCAGCTCTGCTAATGGGGAATCAGACTTAAGATAAATATATATTGCTTATTACTACTCACTCTTGGAGTTAGTGAAGTTTGCATATTAAAGACTGTGATGGTCTGTAGTCATAAGTATTAATTTGTTTAAATCATACTTTTCCAAATTTATTTAAAGATGGAATCATTTTTATCTATAGTAACATTTTATATCTCCCAGTTCTAGTGTTACTTTGAGAAAAACTGGCTTAGAATATGCGATTCTTTATTTAGATCTAGAAACATAAATCATTTTGATTATTTACAAATAATTTTGATATATCTAGCTCCTCACGATATACCATGCCACATTTTGTCCAGGCTCTTATTTAACTTGCAAGAATGAGTTGCAGAATATTTTAGATTTCAGTCAGCTACCAACATAGAGCATTGTCTTTCAAGGAACACTGTTTATTGCTATTAGGAGCTTTTCTTTAGTACTCTAAATCGGCAAATTGCATTTCTGATTCTTCTGCATTGGCATTCATCTTTTCCTCTCTCTGATTGCCTGTTGCTAAGAAGACTATACATAAAGTGGGCCCTGCACAGTAGAGTCAAACTATATTTATTGCCTACTCTAATTTTTAACAGAGTTTCTCTCTTAAAAATGTCCAGGTTTAGATAACAAATTTTGTTATTACTCTGATTACAATCACAGTGATTTTTCTTCCCTGACTCTGAGACTCTTCCTAGACCAGAAGAAATACCCTGATGTGTGGTTTAGTTTGCCAACAGTGATGCCATTTTGTTATTCTACAAATCTACTCTGCCAAAGTCCTCTGCCCTCTTGATACATTGGACTTCATTACAGAACTAAATTGAGATTATCATACTCAGGGAGAAGTTAATAACTTGCCTAAATTGATGGATTATTAAATCCATGAATATATTTTTTCTCCCTATCCATAGTTTTACCATCTGCTTACCACACCACCAATTCTTTCTTACTTCTTTAGAGAAACAGGAAGTTTCTACTTATTTTTTCTTTGTGAAATTCTAGTTCTAAGATAGAATGGTGTGAGAGCATCACTATGTATGCCAAGTTGGAGCTACAATGGTGTGAAAATATCAGAAGTGTTGAATGTAAAACAAACTTCTGGAGAACAAATCGACAGTTGAAAAAATAGGTCACTTGCTACTCATGACTATAGAAGTAAATAACCAAGATTTAAGAAATTTGGCTGAGTATGACACCTAGGAAAAAATATTTTAAAGGTTTTAAAACATTTTTTTCATTCTCGTAGAAGATTAAAAAGTAAATCTTTTTCATTTTTTCTTTATGCATCAAAAATCATTTTATATTATTTTCATCTGAACTTAAAATGTAGATCTAATTTATATATTTTAAATTTTACACTGAACTCCATAATATAGAACTACACATGCTCCTTAAACGTGACCTTTCTATCTTGCCAGTGGAACTCATGTTACATTGTACAGGAATTGGGTTAAGTATTAGGAAAATAGGAACCAATCCACTTATTGGTGCTCCAGGGTAAGTCTCATTTCCCTGGCAAGAAAAATAGCAGTGTTCCTTATTATGTTATACTGTTCTCCTTCAACAAATTTTATGTTGAATTGTAATATAAAAATCCCACAAAATAAGTGGTGAAGCTTTTTCTCAAAATGTTGAATTTTCCATTGCCTTCTGTTTTTGGTTCTACAGGTATTCTAACAGAAAATAAATTCTTTTAAAATGTCGATGCATGAGCAGATAGGTTAGTGACTAAATCGAAAGTTGACTTAAGTTTCTTGATTCTTGCAGGGTTTCATTCACCTGACAACTCTGATTAGCACAATAACAAACATATCAAAATTAAGAGGCTTTATAAAAATGATCAAAGATGTGTATCTAATTTTTAAAAATCACAAATATGTCCTTATTTAGTTCATATCAGAAAAAATATTAACACTACCTGTGGAACACCACTGGTTTCCAAATAAAACTTTGTAAGCACAGAGAAGACCACTAGAAATTCTATATCTAGCCCATGAACGCTAAACAATAATTGCATCAGAGATTCAGCTATTGTTCAACAAATGGTGTCAAATGGTCCCATGAACTTTTAATATGTAAAAAATTATAAAAAGTGGAGAAAAATGTAAATTTAAGCACACAAGAAAGTGTCCAATGACAGAACTGGAAGAGATTTTGCAGCTTTCTGGCTCGTGAGCTGCCTAATCCCTGACTTATAGCAGAAGGAAACAGCATTGAGGAATCAGACATTGCAGTAGGAAAACCACAGCTTTATTAATAAAATATGCCAGAAATTAGCATTCAGGTTTGAAAATCATGTGGAAACTTAAAGGGAAGTCTCTAGAAGTGGAAATACCAAGAAAGAGTAGACCCCTTTAGAACATAAATTATTTAAGACCTGGGGTGACAAAGTTTGCTTGTGCAAATAGACAACACGGAGAATACCAAAAAAAAGGCTTGACTGGCCTAGCGTCCTGGCATGCATCTTTCTCCCATGCTGGACTCTTCCTTCCCTCAAACATCTGACTCCATGTTCTTCAGTTTTGAGACTCGGACTGGCTTTTCTTGCTCCTCAGCCTGCAGACGGCCTACTGTGGGACTTTGTGATCATGTGAGTTAATGCTTAATAAACTCCCCTATATATATATATATATACATACACACACACACACACACACACACACACATATATCCTATTAGCTCTGTCCCTCTAGAGAACCCTGATTAGTGCAGATTTTGGTACCAGGAGGGGTTCTAGAGAAACAAAATATTAAGATGGAGTTCTTTAATTGGTTTTGGGGTTTCTGGAGTGGGTTTCTTAATATGATTAGACCCAAAAATGCTAAGGACTCTACTTCTAATAGTATGATGAACACTGATAGTCCTTGGTGTAAATGTTTAGAGAGTTATGCAAAATAAATGCATTTGACACTCCTGATTCACTGCTCATGAGAGGCAAGGAGTTTAGTGACTATACATAATACCTTTGACCATATGTGGAGAACCTAGGAGCATAATGAAGCTGGCTGGTTGCTCTTAAGTTCAGTGGACAAAGAGACGAAAGAAAATGATGAACTCAGGGATTCCATCTCCTGGCTTCAAAAGTAGATACTAAGCCTCAAGTCTGCTAAGATTACCCTGAGAGAGAGTCTTATCTCCTGTAGAGAAGGAGCTGAAATTGTGGAAAAACAGACACAAGCTCTTATCACGTGAGCGGCTGACCTGCAATGAAAGGTGCATGCACAGCCTTGCCAGGTGTCTACTGTTAATGTGAGGGCATTGATTGGAAAAGAATTGGACCTTGAATCTTGGAATGGGGATGTGTGGGAGGACCCTGATGAAGCCAGGGGCACTGATTTTGTAAACTCTGATGAACCTTTTGTGCTAGAAGAAACAGCTTCCTCATCCCCAGTTGTGGCAACATCCCCTCCCGACCCATGCTGCCATCAGCCTTTCCACCTTTGTCTGAGGAGATAAATCCTGTGCTGCCTGAGGCAACAGTGATGGCTTCCCCTGAGGCAGCTGCCATACAAGATAATGTTGATTCTCCTCAGGAGCCACCCCCAACACCCCTGTTTGCTTCTAGACCTATAACTAGACTTCAGTCCCTAGGCTAAAGCGGTGAGGTTGAGAGTGTGACCCATGAGGATGTGTGTTAACTTGAAAAGAACTGCTTGAGTTTTCTAATTTATGTAACAGAAATCTGGAGAACAGGCATGGGAATGGATATTAAGGGTGTGGGATAATGGTGGAAGAAACATAGAATTGGATCGGCCTGAATTTATTGATTTAGGGTCACTAAATAGAGGCTCTATATTTAATGTTGCAGCTCAGGAGTTAAAAAAAGGTTCTAATAGTTTATTTGCTTGGTTAGCTGAAATATGCATTAAAAGATGGCCCACTGTGAGCAAGCTGGAAATGGCTGATCTTCCTTGGTTTAATGTAGAGGAAGGGATCTAAAGGGTTAGGGAGATTGGGATGGTGGAGTGGATTAGTCACTTTAGACCTACTTATCCCAGTTGGGAGGGTCCAGAATATATATCCTTGTGAAATAGATTTGTGAGGGCAGCACCTGCATCTTTGAAGAGGCCTGTAATTGATCTTCTCTCTATGCCAGATCTAACAGTGGGAACAGCAGTCACTCAACTGCAAAATTTAAATTACAAAATTTAAATACAATGGGAATAACTGGATCCCGAGGTGGCAGGGGCCAAGTGGTGGCACTCAACCACCAAAGGCAAGGTGGGTGTAGCTACTGTAATGGACAGTAGAGGCAAAGCGACAATCAGAATAGTCTGAGTCATGTAGAGCTCTGGCATTGGCTAATTAATCATGGTGATCTCAGCAGTGAAATTAATAGAAAGCCTACTGCATTCCTACTTACTTTATACAAGCAGGAAACTTCTAGGTTGAATGGACAAAAGACTAATTTGAATTACAAAGGCAGAGTCATGACCCCTCAATCAATTTCCAGAATTGAGGCAGTTTACAGACCCAGAACTCCTTGAATGAAGGGGAGGCTGGGTCGCCTTGAGGAAGGATCCCACTACACTACCAATAATTTATGCAGAGAATCTTTCTCCCATCCTTTCCCAAGGGGACCCCCAGCCTTTTACCAGGGTAACTGTGCATTGGGAAAAGGTAAATGATCAGACATTTTGCAGACTACTGGACACTAACTCTGAGCTGACATTAATTCCAGAGAACTCAAAACATCATGTGGTCCTCCAGTTAAAGTAGGGGCTTCTGGAGGTCAGGTTATTAATGAAGTTGTAGCTCAGGTCTGACTTACAGTGGATCCAGTGGGTCCCTGGACTCATCCTGTGATCATTTCCTCAGTGCCAGAATGCATAATTGACATAGACATACTTAGCAGCTGGCAGAACCCTCATATTTGCTCCCTGACTGGTAGGGTGATGGCTGTTATGGTGGGAAAGGGCATATGGAAGCCATTAGAATTGCCTCTACCCAGAAAAATAGTAAATCAAAAACAATATCACATCCCTTATTGTGGAGATTAGTGCCACCAGCAAGGACTTGAAGGATGCAGTGGTGGTGATTCCCACCACATCCCCATTCAACTCTCCCATTTGTCCTGTGCAGAAGACAGATGGATCTCAGAGAATGACAGTGGATTATCATCAGCTTAACCAAGTGGTTACTCCAATTGCAGCTGCTGTACCAGATATGGTTTCATTGCTTGAGCAAATTAACACATCTGGTACCTGATATGCAGCCATTGACTTGGAAAATACATTTATGTCCATTCCAGTCCATAAGGTCCACCAGAAGAAATTTGCCTTCAGCTGGCAAGGCCAGCAATACACCTTTACTGTCCTACCACAGGGTTATATCAACTCTCCAACTTTGAGTCATAATCTCATTTGGACAGACCTTAATCTCTTTGCTTCCACAAGATATCACACTGGTCCATTACATTGATGACATTATGCTGATTGGATCCAGTGAGCAAGAAGTAGCAAACACACTGGACTTAATGGTGAGACATTTGCAAGCCAGAAGATGGGAAATAAATCTGACTGAACTTCAGGGACTTTCTACCTCAGTAAAATTTCTAGGGGTCCAATGGTGCGGGGCCTGTCAAGATATTCCTTTTAAGGTGAAGGACAAGTTGCTACATCTGGCCCCTCCTACAATCAAGAAAGAGGCACAACGCTTAGTGCGCCTATTTGGATTTTGGAGGCAATACATTCCTCATTTGGGTGTGTTACTCTGGCCCATTTATAGAGTGACCTGAATTTGGATTTTGGAGGCAGTACATTCCTTTTTTGGGTGTGTTACACTGGCCCATTTACCGAGTGACCCAAAAGGCTGCCAGTTTTGAGTGGGGTCCAGAAGAGGAGAAGGCTCTGCAACAGTTCCAGGCTTCTGTGCAAGCTGCTCTGTCACTTGGGCCATATGACCCAGCAGACACAATGGCACTTGAGGTGTCATTGGCAGATAAGGATGCTGTTTGGATCCTTTGGCAGGCCTCCATAGGTGAACCACAGTGGAGGCCTCTAGGATTTGGGAGCAAGACACTCCCATCTTCTGCAGATAACTGCTCTCCTTTAGAGAGACAGCTCATGGCCTGTTACTGGGCTTTGGTGGAAACTGAACGTTTGACTATGGATCATCCAGTCATCATGCGACCTGAACTGCCTATCATGAACTGGGTGCTTTCTGACCCATCCAGACATACAATGGGTCATGCACAGCAGCATTCTGTCATCAAATGGAAGTGATATATATGTGATCAGGCTTGAGCAGGTCCTGAGAGCACAAGTAAGTTACATAAGGAAGTGGCTCAAATGTCCATGGTCTCTACTCCTGCCACCCTGCCTTCTCTCCCCCAGCCTGCACTGATGGCCTCATGGGGAGTTCCCTATGATCAGTTGATAGAGGAAGAGAAGACTATAGCCTTGTTCATGGATGGTTCTGCACGATATGCAGGCACCACCCGAAAGTGGACAGCTGCAGCATTACAGCCCCTTACTAGGACATCCCTGAAGGACAGCAATGAAGAGAAATCTTCCCAGTGTGCAGAGCTTCAAGTAGTGCACCTGGTTGTGCACTTTGCATGGAAGGAGAAATGGCCAGATGTGAGGTTACATACTGATTCATGGGCTGTAGCCAGTGGTTTGGCTGGATGGTCAGGGACTTGAAAGAAGCATGATTGGAAAATTGGTGACAAAGAAATTTTGGGAAGAGGTATGTGGATAGTCCTCTGAGTGGTCAAAAAACATGAAGATATTTGTATCCCATGTGAGTGTCCACCAATGGGTGACCTGAGCAGAGGAGGGGTTTAATAATCAAGTGAATAGGATGACCCATTCTGTGGACACCATTCAGCCTCTCTCCCCAGGCATCCCTGTCATCTCCCAGTGGGCGCATAAACAAAGTGGCCATGGTGGCAAGCATAGAGGTTATGCATGGGCTCAGCAACATGGACTTGCACTCATCAAGGCTGACCTGGCTATGGCCACTGCTGAGTGACCAATTTGCCAGCAGCAGAGACTAACACTGAGAGCTCAATATGGCACCATTCCTTGGAGTGATCAGCCAGCTACCTGATGGCAGTTTGATTATATTGGACTTCTTCCATCGTGGAAAGGGCAGAGGTTTGTCTTCACTGAAATATATACTTACTCCAGATATGGGTTTGCCTATCCTGCACACAATGCTTAAAGAAGTGCAGCAGTGGGCTCATGCTCATGGAATTCACTGGTCTTAAACCATGTTCCCCATCATCTTGAAGAAGCTGGGTTGATAGAATGGTGGGATGGCCTTTTGAAGTCATAATTACAATATCAACTAGGTGACAATACTTTGCAATTCCAACCTCTAAAAGGCCTCAGTGTGTGTTGTTCCCCTCTATGTGTCCATGTGTTCTCATCATTTAGCTCCCGCTTATATGTGAGAACATGTATTTGGTTTTCTGTTCTTGTGTTAGTTTGCTAAGATAATGGCTTCCAGCTCCTTCCATGTCCCTGCAAAGGATATGATCTTTTTTATGGCTGCATAATATTCCGTGGCGTATATGTACTACATTTTTAAATCCAGTATATCATTGATGAACATTTAGGTTGATTCCATGTCTCTGCTATTATGAATAGTGCTGCAGTAAACATACATGTGCATGTTGCTTTTTGTTTAATTTTATCAATATAGAAAATGTTGCAGTATATCATGAATGTCATTTCTATAGTCATAGGGGAAGGGAAACCTCGAAGGTGGCAACATGGGCTGGATGCAGTGGCTCATGCCTGTAATGCCAACACTTGGGAGGCCGAGATGGGTGGATCACAAGGTCAGGAGTTCGAGACCAGCCTGGCCAACACGGTGAGACTCCGTCTCTACTAAAAATACAAAAATTAGCCAGGCCGGGTGGCACACGTCTGTAATCCCAGCTACTTGGGAGGCTGAGGCAGGAGAATTGTTTGAACACAGAAGGTGGATGTTGCAATGAGTCAGGATCACACCATTGCACTCCAGCCTGGGTGACAAGAGTAAGACTCTGTCTCAAAAAGAAAAAAAAAAGTCCGGACATGACAGTGGAAATATGAAGATTGTAATATTCACAATCAATTAAAGCTGCTTCACTATCTGGCATCATAATTTGGTAGCAAACATGAACTCTGTCATATTTATTGAGTTAAAAATAGACCTTCAGCAAATGTTTATTAAAAATAAATGTAGACTATGAATGTAAGTAGTTGAAAGATGATATAAGACATTGAGAAATTTGTGATAGAGATTGGAACTGAAGGGAAACATGAATTACTATAATATTTTAGAGATAATAGCAGAAAACACATTCAACTTATCAACTAAGAGAAAAGAAAAAGCAATCTATTCCAAGACAAAGATAAATGAATGAACTCAATGGGCAGTCTTGTTTTCTATGTAGGCATATGGGAGTCATTATGTAATTGTAAAGGTGCCCAATACTAGAAAATTAAGTGTAAATAAATACCAGCCAAGAATGATTTCATAAAACCCCAATTCCTAGAATTGAGTATGCAATACAACTTTCACATTTTTCTTGACAAAACGTACATAAAATTATTTTGAAACATTTCTAATAATTGTATATGAAATAAAAACTTGGAAATAATAGGAATTGAATAATAATACAGACATTTCTTGGTGTCTGCAGGAGTTGAGTTCCAGTACCTTTCATGAATACCAGAATCTGAGGATGCTCAAGTCTTTGATATAAAATCATGTCCTATTTGCATGTAACCTGCGCACATCCTCCAGTATACTTTAAATCATCTCTAGACGTATAATACCTAATATAATGTAAATGCTATGTAAATAGTTGTTTTACTCTATTGTTGGGGAGTCATAAAAAGAACAAAAAGTCTGTATATGTTCAGTACAGATGCAATTTTATCTCAAATATTTTTGATCTATGGTTGCTTGAGTCCACAGATGCAGAACCCATGGATACAGAGGGCTGACTGTATACTGAAAATGTACATGTGTTGATATTAAATATATATATAATTGTTTTCTTTTTATATATGCTTAGATTACTTCCCTATTAAATAGCTAACATTTATATATTGCTTTCAGAATGACAGACATTTTTCTAAGCATTTTTCATGTATTAATATTATCTTGATAAAACTAATAATAACCTAAAAAGTAGGCACTATTATTATAATATAGACTTTACAGAAAGGAAACTGAAACACAGAGAGAATAAGTAACTTGCTCAAGTCCACACAGTTGCAGATTAAAATAGTCAGATGTCTTCCTGTTACTATTACAGTAATATCAAAAGTCCTTGTTTTGGTAATTTTATGTATTTGACATTTTATTATAAATCTACTTCTAAACATAAGCTAAGTCCATGGGCATAAAGTCCATCATCTGGTTCACTGTGTTTATAATAGTGCTTGGCACCCACTAGGAACAAAAATGTTTGTTGATAAAGTGAGTATTAATCAATTGTTCGCTCCTATATGTACATTATGTATATATTGCACCTGTGCATATAGTTGCTAGAAGAACTTTAAAGATCAGTTGATGGAGTTATTAACTTGAGTTACATTGAACCCGTAAGATGATTGAATGAAATATCAGTATGATCGGTTTCCTTTTATTTATACATAGTTTATTTTGTACTTTAAAAATATTATTTTAAGAAAAATCCATAGGATGTAAATGGACCTAGACAAGATTAAGACTAAGCATCCATACTTGTGATTTAGTTTATAGTTTTGTCTAGACCTATATTTTTCTTCTGAGGCCACCAAGAGGAAAGGGAAGTTAAATACCATATATATCAGTTTTCATCTATTTTTCATATTGTGATTCCACACAATATTTACCTGAAATAATAGATTCTGTTGTTAAAATACAATTTTGAAAACCATGAATATAATCAAGTTCTTTTATTTTATATATATTAGGAAATGGGAATTCAGAGAGAATAAAAGAGTAACCACTGGTAATTACTAAGGAAAAGCCATTGACAACAGAGTAGGGAACTTGAACTCAGGTTTCAGTTCAATTCAGCAAAATGAGAATTTACTGAAAACTTTTTACATGAAGTGTAGAATTCAAAGGGGACATGGGCATGGTTAAAATAATTCATAGTCAAATTGACAGATTATATGTACAAACAAGAAAACATACAGAATGAAGTAAGCATTTTAAGATATTGTGTGAAAGTAGACAGTTATGGGAGATAATAATATTGTGAGGTAATAACAAACTTATCTGGGGGAATCAAGCAGATCTAAATTTGAAGCCCAGTTCAAACACACAACTATTTGACTTCAGCCTTTTATTGAACCTCTCCAAGCCTTGATGCTGATGTTCTTACCTATAAAATGAGGATAACAATGCTGAATGCATAGTGGCTTTGTTTTTCAGTATTAGATGGTGAATATAAAGCAGCTTAATACAATGCCTGACAAATACATTCTCAAAATGTGACAGACAATTATTTCTGTCATCATAGTTTTGTCAGTCGCTATGACTTTACCCAATGTTGTGGGATATCACCAAGAAGTATTAAATTTACTGTCCTGGACTTTGATAACATAAAAGACAGAAAAAATACTTTCATACTTAAATTACTCAATGATATAATAAATATTACTTAATAAATCAAATAGTTGACCTTCTCTACAAGCATTTACGATTCTATGAAGAAGATGTTATCTCAGTGTTAATTTGTTTTTAATTGTGTTCCAAAATCCTTACTCAGATGTTTTCAGTGGCAATCATATTAAATATTTTTACAAACTTCAAAATGCATTTGCCTAAATACGAGGTAGAAATTACCAATAAACTGGAGACTTAAAATGTGAATGGGTTTATATACTGTTTATATATATAGCAATTTAGTTACATACTAACCAAGAAGTTACAAAGATAACAGAAATCGAGAGGATCTTGTATTCAGTCTTTAATTAGATAATAAAACCATTAGTGTTTTGTTGTGGTTGTTTGTTTGTTGTTCGAGACAGAGTCATGCTCTGTCACCCAGGCTGGAGGGCAGTGGCATGATCTCGGCGCACTGCAACTTCTGCCTCCCAGATTCAGTGATTCTCCTGCCTCAGCCTCCTGAGGATTCTCCTGCTTCAGCCTCCCGAGTAAAGCTGGGACTACTGGCACGTGCCATCACACCAGGCTAATTTTTGTATTTTTAGTAGAGACAGGTTTTTGCCATGTTAGCCAGGTTGGTCTTAAACTCCTGACCTCAGGTGATCTGCCTGCCTTGGCCTCCCAAAGTGCTGGGATTACAGGTGTGAGCCACCATGCCTGGCCGCCATCAGTGTTTCTTATTAAGGTTTTAATTTTTCTTATTTCTCTATTATGCTGTGTCCTTTATGGCAGCTTCTAGTCGTATGTAGATATTGAACAATTAAAATGAAGCTAATGTGATTACAGAAATAAGTTTTTACTTGTATTTTATTTTAATTTAAATTTAAATCTGATGTTTGGTTTAGTTATTGAAAAACTTCAAAATGTGTTTGGAAATTTGGGTGTGTAAATCTACTGTTTCATCTGTAAATTCTGTGAAATTCATATACAAATTATGTATTTTTAATGAAAATTTAGTGTAATATCAGGATGTGGTTAATTGTAAAATATACTGATTTTCCAAGATTAGGTATAAAAGTGTAAAAAATTTAATTAATAGCATTTTATGTGCATTATATAGTAAAGTGATCATATTTTTAATATACTGGGCTAAATAAAAATATATGAGATTAATTTCACTTTTTTTTTTTTTTGCTGTTTGAATGTGAATGTGGCTACCAGAAAATTTAGACTTACACATGTAACTTTCATTGCATTTCAATTGGACAGTGCTTCTCCATATAGTCTTGATTTGTTTTATTTTAATCTTATTAAGTTAATGTCAGTAGTTTTTGGGAAATATATAAAATTCTAAAAAATAGATGAAAAGTATAGATTTTTGGGTGAATTTTATAGAATCAGGATTCACATTTCAACCCACAGAACTGAAAAGTTGGCGGTGAGGAAAAGGGATGTTTTTTTCTCAAATGTAGTATGATTTTCACTAGAGAAATTCACTTTAGCATTAGCTATTTAACAGCCATTTGAAACTGAAAATAAAAATACTTTAGGACCTGGTATCTAATGGATGATGGATTGAGACTAGCACCATCTGAACTATATGAACAAGAGCGTGTATTAATTGGTTTTGATTATTTTCTCTTTCAGAACTCTTACACATTTTCCTCCCTTAAATTGGTAGAAGGAAATAAATGGAACCGCTCGCTGAACTCTACTCTTTCTTAGTTGTTCATGCCCCAGAGCACATTGTACTACTTTTCAGAAGATAATAATTAAAGCCACAGTTATGTTCTCCAAGCTTCCCTTATTTTATTTAGGGAAATAAGATTTTTTTTAGGGAAATAAGATTTTATTTAGGGAAATAAGATTAAGATTTGGACTTCTGCTTGTGTTAGGTTTTTTGAATGTAATGGATGACTACTTCAGGTTTCAGAGGGATGCTAGTGTATTTACATCTTGTTGAATTTGTTGTATTTACCAGATACCCAAGCTTTTTGCTTGTTAATATTAGTGATGCAGAAAGGGAGAGGGAAATACCATCAAACATAAATTTATTGTAGGCTTATTGAGTTAATTCTAATAGTTTGAGATTTTTAACTCTAATGAAAAGCTGTAAGTGAAAGAGATTTACATGCTACATCTTTACTCACTTTTTTCCTTTGATGCTAAAATGAAGGAAATATACGGGTATATTTACAAGTTGCTATGTGAGCAGTTATGTGAAATTTATGCTGTGTAATGGATTATGGAAAGTAGCTTTGAACAAACTAAATGGCCATTTCATTTGATCACAGCATATTTTTACAAATCCAATAATTAAGCAATGCACAGGTTTTTTTTTAAGTTTTTCAAAGTATGGTAAACAAGCAGTAGGTTTTCCTCATTTGCACAGTAAAATGGACTTATAGGGTAAGGGTGATTAATGTACTGAAGTAATTTAAATTCCATACTTTCAAAGTCACAATGCATATGTTACATGCCTATAATTATGCTCCTCCGGGTGTGCACGCCAAGAAGGTGGCAGAGTCAGACACAGAAAAAGAAAGGAGATTGATGATATGGTATTTTGCTAATACAATGCAAAGGCACTAACTGATTATGAGCCTCATTCTTGCCTTTCCTACTTCTACGTACCCTCTACATTACATTTTCAAACTGATGCCTTCACTGATCCGTCATTTACAGAAAATGCCTTCATTATGAAGAAGCCCTCCTGAAAAAAATTGGAAAAAAAACCAATACTTCCAATATTATAATTCAAACTTCTTTGGTTTAAGGATAAAGAAACTCCCCCAGCACTCCACCACCACCGTACACGCACACTCATTTATTAGATTTGATATACATATGCTTAAGTATTCATTTCCTCTTTTCTAAATTTGGGGCCATTTTAGGAAGGAAAACTGTTTTGTTGATATCAAGATAATGCACTGGTGTCCTATAAAAAGTCATGCCAAAGGAAGACAGAATTTTTTAGGAGAGTATTACAAATTTTACAACTTTATAGTTACAATTTGTGTATACTGTCATTTTAAGAAAAGTGATGTTGCGGCTTTTCTTAGGATTCCCAACAGGTTGCTAGACATTTTCTTACTCCTAAGTATTGGGTGACCTCAAACAGACTGAACATTTATAGGGAATACAATCAGGGTAAACAAATTTTTTATTAAATCATGCATCCTAATTCCTTTATTATGTTAGTGCCATGATGTTTAATGTCCACCTCCTTTGGGTCAACTCAACTATAGATTCTATTATCTCTGAACTATTAACAGAATCCTATTCGATTTCAAAGTTGTAAATACATACACCTCTGCTTTTTTCTCCCCTAAAAAGTACGTTATTCCATTGACACAAAGATTTAGTGTCACAGTGTACCTAGTCAAAAAGAGAAGAAATAAATATTGCTTTAAATTTTTGAGGACAGGGCTGGTGCTACCTTTCTATGCCATATAACGTATGAGTTTGGTTTTCAGTTTTTTTTTGTTTTTTTTGTTTTTTTTTTGAGATGGAGTCTCGCTCTCTCGCCCAGGCTGGAGTACAGTGCAATGATCTTGGCTCACTGCAACTTCCCTCTCCCGGGTTCAAGCAATTCTCCTGTCTCAGCCTCCCGAGTATCTGGGACTACAGGTGCACACCACCATGCCTGGGTAATTTTTTCTGTTTTAGGAGAGACGGGTTTTGCCGTGTTGCCCAGGCTGGTCTCGAACTCCTGAGCTCCGGCAATCTGCCCGCCTCGGCCTCCCAAAGTGCTAGGATTACAGGCATGAGCCACCGTGCCCAGCCTGGTTTTCAGTTTTAATTACCAACCTTATTTGGCCATTTCAGCTGAAGTTTTACATAAACCTATATTGTACTTTTGATGAGATGATGATGAAATAGAAAGTTGCACACATAAAAAAGTGGACTGATGTTTGATATGTCTGAAAGAGGGTAACAAATTAAAAATATAGAAACTTGATACTTCTTATTAGAAAAAAGGGATTATTTTGAATAGTTTTGTTAGTGCTGTTTGTTTAGTTTGTTTGCTTTGCCTGGAATCCTGTGTTTTTCGATATATACAGTTTGACCGTGGAAACTTCAAAGCTCTGCTCTTTATATTCTGAATAATACAATCAACTCATCTAGCTACAACTTTTTAGGTAGCTTTTTTCTTTAACAAATGTTCTTTTGGCCTAGAATTTTAAAAATAAATTAAAAAGATTCAGATTATTAATTAGCAGTAATAAGTGATTATTTTTAGGATGAAATAGCTAGATCTGGCCCCTTATAGGGAGTAGTGGCTACTGTTGTCTTTTATATGAAGACTTATATTAATGTAAGTGAATGAGTTTGTGTGAGTGTTATTTATGATCTTTGTGCTGTGTTTGTACAGTGAAGTCAGTGAGACCCATAGAGACCACTAGGGTGCTGTTAATGTATGTGGTCTATTGCATACCTTTGAGAGCTAAATCATGGGGCTCATTTTTGAGACTAATTATTATAGGGAGCTTTTTATCATATCATGTATGCATTTTAAAACTTTAAGAATATTGCTCAACCATACCATAATGGACAGCAATTATCATATTTTCAAATATTAATAATGAAATTAAAATTAGGGAATTATTGCAAATATCAAAGTCACTTTTTTAGTGATTGTTCAATATTCACTATATCTAATAATCATTATTATGTAATACAAATATTAGAGAATTACAAATATTAGTAATAATATATTAAGAATATTTTTAGTTATCCCATAATTTTCTAGAAAGTATTAAGCAGTCTTTGTTCATTAAACACATTTTCATGAAGCTAAATACATTCATAAATTGGTTATCTTTTGCTAATAGCTTCCTTAAGAAAGGTTTGCTAAAAATTCTTCCAAAGTGAAAAATAACATAGGTTAATATGAATATAGAAAACCTTCCAGTCTGAAAATGTTCTTAAATTAAAAAATAATCATTTTAACTTTTTGTTTTTCCTGAAGCCACCAAGTCATGTAATATGTATATATATAAATAATTGTTTATTCTTCTAAGCACTAATTATAAATTTTTCTACTAGTTAACAATTACTGAATCCACAAATATGTTTCCTATACATGACAAATTGTAGGTATTATAGATGTAAAAACAAAAATATAATACTTTCTACTTTAATGAAAAGATAGAAACAAAAAAAGAAATGTAAACCCACTTGTTATTTAAAATGATTATTAGTTTAATGAGAGCATTTCAGAAAGCAGTAGGAGGATAAAATTACTAAGAATGGAGAAATTCATTCAAGTTGTTATAGTTCTGTATATAGTTGCATCAATTTTCTCAAAATCATTTTGTATTTGTTACTATGTTTATAGAAATACCTAAGCAACTAGTGACAAGTAACTATTGTATTTTAACAGAGATTAAAATAAATAATGTTACAATATGGACTCCCATTGTACACTGAGGAACTCAGAACAATGAAGTAACATTTTCTGCAGAGTAGGGGACTGTGAAAGACTAAAATGGATGTTTAGGATAGGGTGCAAAGGTTGCTGTTATGGGCTAAATTGTATCTCTCAAAATTCATATGTTGAAACCCTTACCTCCTGTATTTCAGAATATGACTGCATTTGGAAATAGGGACTTTAAAGAGGTGATTAAGTTACAATGAGGCCACTAGAGAAGACAATTATCCATTTGGACTGATGTGCTTAGAAGAAGAGCATATTGGTAAAAAGAGACACCAGAGGTACAACAGCACAGAGAAAGACCATGTGAGGACATAGTGAGAAGATGGCCATCCCATCTGCAAGCCAAGGACAGAGGCCTCAGGAGAAACCAACCCTGATGACACCTTGATCTTGGACTTCACAGCCTCCAGAACTGTAAGAAATAAATTTCTGTTGTTTAAGCCACTCTGCCTATAATACTTTGTTATGGCAGCCCTAGCAAACTAATACAGATGTTTACAGTCTTTGCCCCAAGAGCAGTTTGACACAAAAATGGACAGGCAGAGCAATCACGAAATATCATAGAATAGCTTTCCCAAGTGTGTTTCTGGTCATTGTTGCACCAATGGCTCTAAGGTGTAGAAGGCTTGTTTTTATACATACATATATTGAAACAGATGAGATGACTAAAATTGGTCTCTGTGCCTCTAGAAAGCAAAGTTGATTCTTAGTTCTTTTATTGTTTTTTTTTCTTTTTTTTTAGATAGCAGACATTTCTTTGCACCCAGCTAATCTTGCAGTAACTTGGGAGATAAATTTTTGCCATGATTCAGAGTTGAGTGACTAGATTCTTGGTTTAGTAAATTCACCAGAAAAGCATGCACATGTTTGAGAAATTTTCCTCTGATTTTATGGATTTCATGTGTACATCTTTGAAGAAAAAGTGAAGTGTGTTAATATACTTCCTGTTCACAAACTATATGGTTTTATTTGACAAGTATTGCCAATGGCATGAGCAAATTGTATTGTTCTTCATTGTGCGATCAGAAAATTCTCATTCCTGAATCTTTCATTATTAAAATATTTACCTTCAAATTTACACCTAGATGTTATATACCTATTCTTACTCTATATCTCCACCACCATTGTGTTTTACAACTATTTCCTCTTAACATTTCTTGGTTTTCCAATTTCTCTACAAGTAGGTTTCCTAGTGAATAAGCTTATTTCTGCAATTTTTGATCTAACAGAACATACTCAAGTGTCTCAGCTCAACATTTGGAGATGAGCCATCCTCCTCTTATTGTAAGAAAAGCTTGAAGGAGTATTTTCACAGCGATGGAACTGGAAGTTAAGGCAACTTCTATCAGGTAAAATGGCAAATCACTGTTATTTTCCTGAATCTGCATACAAGCAAAGCCTGTGTACTTGCAAAGCCATAATGTCACTAGAGATGATCATTAGTAAATTGTGTTTACTTGCATCTTAATATGTGATTTTCCACATATTTAGTCGTTTTAGGGCTCTGTGAAACAGTATGCCATTTGACCTTCTTTGATGTTCAGGTTCTTGAATTCCAAACACTTGATTTACAAAGTTCAATTTCTAATGCATGTTTATCATTCTGAATGTTTCTTGTGGGATTAAAAAATTCAGAGAAACAAGAATATCCAGGAACACATTTCTGGCTACTAATATTGCTGCTGATCTTATTCTTTTTTGTAATGTACTATCATCAATGTTTTAGATGAACAACTATATATAGCACAACAATTTCTATATAATGTAATTATTGTAAAAATTTGATTAGAAAACATGGGAACTTCCTGGTCAATATTTATCTAAAATGCTGAAATTTAAAACACCAAAACATGTAAATGGTATTTCAAAGTAAAAAATTAATGGAGATCAGCAATACATCAGCTTTATTTTGGCTATTGATTTGGTCTTCTATTTTTTGCTTTGTGATTTAGGGGAGCAATGTTATCTCCATAAAATGAGGCTGTCCTTTTCATTAAGTAATTGTAAAGCGAACACCGCATATTTAAATAGAAACAGTGTTGCTAATATGGAATTGTTAAATTTTTAATTATTGCACTATCTACTAGAATAAATATATAAAAAACCTTTTTTTTTACTTCCTAGCATCAAGAAAAGAAAAGAAGTATTCACCACTTACGAAACAACATCTCTCTTCTCATCAATAGTTTGATTTACAGGTACATGTTTTGCTTTAGAAGTTTTTATTTTTTATAAATGTAATGTGTATTCTTAAGGTGTAACATTAAGAACTTTGTTTTGTTGTTAGAGATTTTAGCAAAAGTAAAAATAATATTAAAACTTTTCAAAAATCTTAGCTATAACAGACTTTAGATGAGAACAGAGTTTAAAAGCTGATGCTCTGATACTGTTTTCTACATTAAATAGACAATTCTGGGGCTCTTCAAATGTAGTATTTGTGGAATGTCTTCTTTTGAGGAATTCCAAATTCCTATCAAGTTTGATTTTACATACTAAGTATGATTTTCCACATGAAGTTACATCTTTTTATTCCAAGAATATACTGTATATGTGGAAAATAGACGAGGTGAAATATTGCATGTTAAAATTGCATGGCAGAGTCATAGAAAGTTGCCAAACAACTAAATTGCTTTGTCTTTTGAATCTTTCAACTAAAGAGTGTGCACCAACATTCTTGGAAGTGATATTAAATAATTACAAACCAAATAAAACAAAAGCCAAAGACAAAGTCTTTAACTTTTTCTTTTTTCACTCATCATTTTCATGCATAAACTAGCACTGTATTTATTATAATAAAATATAATAACCTTTTCTTTATTTTTTGATAAAAATGTAAGACTACATAACTTTTGTAACTATACAGCCATCATTAGTTATTATACTCCTAATGAAGAAAAAATAGTAAATAGAGGGGTATTTAAAAAATAAAAAAATAAAAAAAAATACCAAACACTTTGCTTACCAAAAAGTGTCTGCACCTCAGAAATGTGATAAGAATTTGGAAAAAAAACCCACAAAGTTTTTCTTTGTAAATGTCATGTAAGACTGTAAAATTTAGAATTTGGTTTTATGCAATTTCTTTAGTTTTACCTTTTAATTTTTAATTATAAAAGCAAATATCTCCTTACTGTTTTAAAAAAAAATCAGCCCAGAAATACATGTAGCATGTCACGAAATTATCCCTCTCGTTCCCACCATTAGGATCCCTGGAGAGACCCATGATTAAACATTGATGTGCATTATGCTAGACATTCTCATCTTATATAACCAAATTAAAAATTTTAAAAACTGGATCATTCTTTGCATACTTTTTTACTGCTTGCATTTGGAACATTTAACCACATATAATGCATATTTATTCATGCTGCTATATGAAAAGAAGAGTTATCTCATTCTTTGAGATTATCTAACAACATTTTACGATATAAGTGTATTTCATATATTGAACCAATTCCTGTTAGGTGGATATTTAGGTTTTTTCCAATTTCGTTTCATTTTCTAGAGGAATATTTGTAAAAGATATTCTTTACTTAAGCTAGAGTATTGGTTATTTAGACAAAACATGAATCTCCTAGGGAATTCTGACTGACAAGAATTTTTAAAAATTGAGCTCTAAATGTCATATTTTAAAATATCAGTCAGCAACTGTATAGTATATTGGAAAGGACTATAGGTTTATAGCCAAGAGAATTGGGTCTTTTTGATCCCTGACACTTATTAATTATATAATATTGTGCAAACTATCTAAATTCTCTGGGCCTTGTTTTCCCATCTACAAAATGATGAGTATGACGTAGATGGTCTTTAAAGGGTCTAAAAACTCTAAATAAAAGACTCTATACTGCAATTATACAAAAAAAAAAAACAAAAAAAAAACACAACAACTATGGACTCATCACTGGCTAGGAAGGATGAGTATTCCAGAGAAAAGAAGCAGTCACCAGCTATTTTAGGTTGCTCACTATGTGGTAGAAAAAACTGATGGAAATCATGGTATTGGGTTTGAAAAATTGAAAGGATTTATACCCCTTGCTGTGCTTGTATTTTAGCCACGCCTTGCTCTATACTCTATTGTATAGGTAAGCGTGGGCAAACCCAGACTCGACATTCCTGTCAGGGTTGCATTATACTCTGACACAGTAGTTTAATTCAATAATGGGTAGAGACGTTTCTAATCCTTGTTCAGTCTTGATCAGGTTTCCTCAGAGCCCTCCTTGTTTGGATAGACTCTTGATGTTAGAATAGAATTAAGACAGACTACCTAGAGTGTAGTGCACCAGAGAGCAGCTTCTAGAGATTCTATCCCTCAGAGGATGCAGTGAGTTGATGCTGCCTCTTAAATGGTTTGCTGTCAGTCCATGGCTGAGATCAGATTCAAAGACCTAGTATTACTCCCGATTCTTCTCCTGGTTTGCTAGATGATTTGTTATTGGCTCTGAATCGTTAAATAATTGACAAATAAGATTATTTTCTAAAATAGTAATGTGGGAAAAAGTGATTCTAATCATTTTGTTCTTTTGTTTGATTAAAATTTAAATGGTCTTCTTCTGAGGAGTCTTTTGGTCATACATATCAGACACAACACTAGGGTCTCTTTGTCTCTGTAATAACAATACATATGTCAAATATAAAATTTCTCCTGTGAAAGTATGTAAAACATTGGGATACATGTTGCTACAAGGTATTACAGTTATGAATGTTATGTGTATATTTTTTTCTCAAGTAGTTGGAAGTGACTACCTGAAACCAAGATAAGAGGAGAATGGAAAGGTGTTCCCTTGTAGTGACAGATAGGTCATCTACATTAATTGTAAGCACCCAGGGCCCAGGACTATTCTTATTGATGTCCTGGATGGTGTGCAGTTTTATTTGCTTTATGTTGCATTTTTCCACAAAATATATTTCAAAACCAATTTTCTTGATGGCAATTCATACACAGTATATTTAATAATGTCATTAATCGCTCTGTTACTAATTGTTTCATTACCTTTCTCATATTAGCAACTGTGAACACCCAACGTTATTTATCAGGTATGCGAGTGCCCTCTCTCTCCTGGGCGGTGATGCTTACCTAGGAAAAGAAATGAAACCCTTTAACAAGTTTCTTGCCTTTCACCACAACTCTCACTCTCACCTGGGGTGAAGGCCAGCCCTAATTTCTAAAGTAATTGCCATAAACGTGGTTTATATATACCAGGAGCTCATGAAAATAGCTTCAGTGTTGATCTTCACATTAATCCCATTTTTCTACTCTCAGAAAAAAACTAGCATTATCCTTATATAAATAATGTATACAAAGCCATTCAGCCGGGGAATGGGGTGGTGGTGGTGGTCTTGGTGGCCTATTTAAGAACTCTGATAGGCCAAATTACTTATTCTGGTAGAAACTAGAAGATTTTTAATGAGGTTCTTGCATTTGTTTTAATCATTTCTATAATGATTAAACAAATCATACCTTTTAAAATGTGTGAATTTGAATAAATAATTTTACATTTCAATACCAATAATTGTGTGAAAGCTTCACAGGAATTCACTGTCTGGGAAAAACTAAAATGACTAAAGAGTCAGGTGTGCTTTCAATGTTTTGCTATTCACCTCCACACAATGATACCTTTAGGCTACCTTCTTTCTCTTTTTGGTGAGTTTAATATGAATCATCAAAGAAAAATTACAGTTGTTTATAAAACAAATTCATCTCTTGCATTTATATATTGGGTTGGCTAGCAAGCGTTGTTTAAGTTAAAAAAAATACTAATTTTCCAGCATTATCACATTGAATATTATCAGATACCTGCATCTGGATCTAACTAAAAAGCTATATTTTAACTCTTTTGAGAATCTTGATGCTAATGCAGGCACCACTACCAATTCTGGGTCAGACGGAATGAATCCATTTTCTCAGCAAGATTCAAGCCTTCATGCCCCCTGTTAAGACTCATGCTATGAGCAAGGCTGGTACTGTTTATGAAAGATGCAAATTATACTCAACATCTTTTGGATTTTACAATTTATAATGAGGCATGCATCCTCCAAACCCAATTCTTTTCTTTAAAGCCCAGAATTCTGGACACTTCATAAAGCAAAAAGCTTGCTGCCACCTTCAAGGAACTCAAACTATCTGATTTTTTTTATTTGCTGCTGCCATTAGATTGAAATGATTTTTCTTCAGTTTGCTCAAAGCCAGATTTAAAGTCAGGTCCCAGAGGTAACAGGCAAGTCGATCCCCTAAGCTACTCAGTCGTTGTTTGCTTTTTTTACATGTAATATCCTACTACTAAGCCAGAATATAATTTAAAATACAAAACACACTCTACATAAATATGTCCTTTAGTAATTTTGTAATCTGACATTTAATAGAAGTTAACTAAGTGCCTTATATCATATTTGTCAAGGAAAATGGAGAAATTATAAATATCCTTCACGACAATTATTTCTTAATAGCTTTCTACATATTTTTAATGCTACACATTTTCTTACTACTTCAAATCAATAATACTCTGAGCTCCTTGAACATAGACCTGCCAGATTACTCACTTACAATGCACCTAAATAAGCCCAAAAGCATCCTAAACACTTCACACATTATGAGCTTCTGAAAACCATTCAAAGAGCTCAGGTTTACAGTCACTTTCTGTTTGCTAGGGAACAGCAAAGGGTTACTTTAGCCCAGGCGCTGCAAGTGCGAGCAACAGGAATCCATTGGCTTTAATTTGTCCATGTCTTTCATTTGATACTACCAGTATTAATAGCTTTGCAAGGAAATTCTGCAGTCATTAATCATAATAATTAATCAGATCCAATTATATTGCATATAAATGCGAACAAATTGCTGAAAAAATAATGATCTATCACCAACATGTCACAAGGAAAAAGAGACTAAAATAGTAATTAGACACAGGGATTTAGTTGTGTATGAGTGCCCTGCAACTGATTTTAACTGTATGATGATCCGATGATGTAATTAGTCGAAAGTCTAGCAGGCCTTTTTAGCAGACCATCTAATGACTGTGCAACTGGAGAAAATAAGGTCCACTTTTCTAAGAGATCTTTTTGCATTTTCTTCTAGCTTTGCTGTTCTGAATAAAGGAGCTCCATTGCCCTTGGTGTTCTAATACTGGAAACTAAATTGTTCCTTCATGGGTTTTCTGAATTTTTATTGCCTGTTTTTAAAGTAATGCTATCTGTTAACTGATGATTACTCAAGTTAGGAATCAAGATATTCTAAATGGCATTTTTTTTTCCTTTTTACTCTTGTAATCATACAAATGTGTAACATATAATTCAAAATGAAATGTTTTGGTTATAGTAAGTTAACACACTGCGGGTAGCATGCATGTTAGCTATTTTCACCTATCTTCTTTCCCTTGAACTGAACTGAAAACATTTCAGAAAATGGAATTACTCTGTTTTCACTTCAGTTAGCACTCTCTGGAGTACTGGCAGATTTTATCAGAAACCATTTAAAAATATATATATGTGCATGTGTGTGTGTGTGTGTGTGTGTGTGTGTGTATATATGTATATATATTCTTTAACAGATTCTTACATTCTGACCAAAGTGAATTATTTAGTGCAAATTATTCTATGAAATAATCTTAATGTCCCTATTTTCTTTTTAATTTTCACTCTTGTCTCACAAGATAGAGCTTCCACTATAGCGTTATATATATGCATAATTAGCATTAGTTTATTATGTGGTCAAATATGTGTTTTTAAACCTTTCAAAATATTTTCTTGCTCCACTCACAGATTACACATGAAATGGTTAACTAAAGATTGATGAGCAGTTTTTATGATAGGTTTGCGACCTGAAAATAAATGTTAGGTTCATCATAGTTTTCAATACTAAGCACTGCACTTTACCATCTTTGATCTCAGTGTTGTGACTACTACAAAGAAATAAAACCTTATCTTACCTTTTCCAGCATCTACTGCAGAAGACCTCAATAATGCATAAGAACATCTGGAAGTACGGTAATTTCAGCTATCAGAGATAAGAATTGACACAGAACAGGTAAACCCTACAAAGTCGTCATGTTGAAATGAACTGATTAAGGTTTAGTAACATAAAACATCATGTATAGTGTTTCCATGCTTGCTACATCTTGCTATTTTATATTTAAAAAGGAATGTCAATTATATATATTTAATAGGTTGATTAGCTGGTGGCAATATTATATTTTACATAAAGAGACAGAAATGTCTGCAGATATTGCCATACCCATCTATTTAGAGTTAACTGTGAGTTCATAGAAAATACATGGGCATAGTAAACAGGGTTTTGAAATGACAATTTTTTACTGGTTGCAAGTGCTAATTGCTAGTTTCTCAAGGGTATAGAATTAATCACCTGCTAGATTTACAGTCTCTAGGTTGAGACCTGAGGATGGAGGCAATAAGAAAAGCTCTTGAGGGACATATCATATGGTGAGTCTAAATATCAGTCTCTATGCATATGTAAATTGGTAACAAAGTTTTTTCAAAGCTCAAGTATGCTAATTTCAAACAGGCAAGACTAAAGCTAGCTTTTAGCAGCTGTTTAACGTCTGCCTGTGGGTGGTAGAGAGAGCTTAAAATACAACCAAACAGTGGTGCATAAGTAATTAAGCAACATTTTGCTGGGCATAAATAATTCTGTTTATATTGCTCTTTTGAAGAGTATAGAATACAAAATAACAGATCAAGTGTACCTTTGGTCACCAGAGGTTAACTGTTCTTCCTCTTTACCTTTCCTTTGGTTTTATGATTTAAGAGAAATAAATAACAAAGTCTGATATACAATATTTTATAACTTTATAGAAAATAAAATTATTTCAGGTGAGGAAAAAAACCCTGTTATGGAATCACTGTACTATAAAATCAATGTAGTGCAACTATATTGATTTTAGTTTATTCCTCAACAATTTATCAGAAGAAAATGTAATATTTAATTGTGGATCCATTTATTGCCTTCTTAACTTTTAGGATTATTGAAAATAGAGTTTGAGTTGTTTGCCAAAATAGAAAAATCAAACTATTTTCAAATTCCACAAAAGGAAAATATCCTTAATTTTTCAGGACAAATTTTAATTGTCCCATGCATTAAAAATAAAGAGATAAATTAATGATTCACCTGGAGATTATTGTCCAAAAATTAAGACTGCTTAAATCAAGGTACTACATATAAAATAATCACCTAATTTGAACAGCTCTTGCTAAGCCAGTAGAAATGTCTAAAAGCAAAAGAAACGCTGGTATAAAAAAATTGCATTTGATTCAATAAAAACCTTGAAATTGACCAGAAGGAAGATGAAAGATTTAACACGATTTAGAAATACCTAGTCTGGAAAAAGGGATTATAGATACTAACTGTGAAAAGAGTAAGGGGTTTAAACTTTGTTTGCTTTAAATATTCATGGTTTAAGGAGTTAATGGTGAAAGGAAGTACTCAGTTGGGTATCAGATCTTATAAAGGGCTTTATAACACATAAGAATGCTAGGAAGGCAGGAGTGGCCATTTTTGCACAGGATTGCTATTTCCCTTTGCACTGAAGGAACAGGTAAATGAAATAGGATTTGAACAAACTTCCTTTTATTTATTCTCAAAATTCTAAGAAAATATGTAAAATTTGGTGGCGAACAAACACCCTGTTTTTTTCCTGATATTTATAATTTCTCTAAATTCGTATTTTTTAAAAACTTGCTACGGGGCTGGGTTTTAAACCCACATGGCCTGAGTAGAAAAGTGGATAGGGCAGTGGATTATGTGCAGACATGTACAGTCAGGGTTGATCTGTGTTCTTTCTTTGCCTCTTGTTCTTCCTCTTCCTCTTGTGGATATGTAATATACACATATGTAATATGTGGATATTAACACCTGTTCCAGTCTCCCTAACAAACCAAAAAGATGAAATTCAGTTAAGTGATTGCAGAATAATGATTTCTTTGAGATACTATTCTAAACTTTCTCAGGCTCTTGGGACATCTTATTCTGGTTGACTTAGTCAAACAATTCATTCTCTATGTACTGTACCAATGGGAGTAGGCCTCATTACCAATTTCATGGAGGAAGGATAGAACAAGCAGACAAGCAATAGGCTCCCTATACCTATGTGAAAATATTCAGACTTGTTTGAAAAGTTTGACAAAAATGGATGACAAAGACTCACAACTACTCAAAGTAATATAATTGATACTTTTTCTCCTGAATTGCCATTTCCCTGCAAATTGTAATTATTGCCTGTGCATATTCTGCAAAGTGATCTTTTGTGTTAGAGGGGCATTGTCCAAGCCCAATTAGGTGGGAACTTGAATATTATGCATTATTAGGTTAACATAAGTCTTGGTCATGTATGATCACAGAAGAACTTTAAAATTGTTTTAGGAGATTTGAAGTGTTCTGCTTTGCCATACCTCTGCCTTTTCTTTTTTTTTTTTTTAATTCTGGATCTTCACGCTTCTGTGTGTTGCTTAGTACATGTCACTTGTCATCACTTTGAACAACAAACTCTTTGTCTCACCAAGAATGGATAGTTACTAAGAAAGTAACACTGGAAATGGAAATGCTTTAGTTTGGGTTTCCGTGGATATACCATGAAACCTTTGTCCTGTACCTCCTCACTCATTTGTCAGTAGAGGCTACCTGTTTAGGTACTTTACTGTAATTCATAAATAAAAATTTGTTTTTTCTGATTATCTATGAAGACATGAAAGCAGCCAAGTTTAGACTTTTGTTGATCAGATTAGTTTCTCCTTTGTATCTGCGAGACTATTAATGCTTATTTAGGTAGAAAATAGTATAATTTTTTTTGAGAATGGTGAGTCTAATTGATACAGACCTGAAAGATGTGATAAACTATGATCAATTCATCATGTTCTATTCACTAAATTAGGGTAAATATACAAGGTATGTGGAAACAGTCGATAGCCGACTAGGAGACATCCTAAGTAGGAGTCCTTGCTGGACATGGTGGTGTCCACCTGTAGTCCCAGCTAAAAGGGAGTCTGAGGCAAGAGAATCACTTAAACCAAGGAATTCAAGTCCAGCCTGGGCAACACAGCAAGACATCATCTCAAAAACAAAGGAGAAAGTAAGCAGGAGTCTAGGAAAAAAATAATCTGACAGATACTGAAATATAGAGTTTCATCCTAGAGTTTGAATCAAGTGCTAAATAGAAAGGACCTAGCTGATATAATGTATATAGATAGTCAATGTCATATAATTACTGTGAACATTATGGGACCAGAAAAATCCAGAAAAGAATTCTAATCTTAGGATGGAGGCTGATTTTTTTCTATTAACTTTGCTGCTTTTTATAGTGTATTCACAAGTTTGTGTGTATATATACACATACACGCACACACACACACACACACATACACATAGTCAGAGATTTGCAGAGCATCTGCAGATATCTCTTCTCCAATGGTGGGTGAAGCAAAGGGTTCCCATATGTGCACCAAGGCATGGTCTCAGAAAAGTCTGTAATCCATCCCAGTTTGTGCTTAGTGTTTTATCACGAGGAAATGCTGAGATTCACTTATTCATTTATTCACTTAGTCATTGACTGTTTACTTAGGTACTACAATGTGTTGGTCACTGTGAAAGTTTCTACGGATGCAAAGATTTATAAGATACAATAAAACACTAGAGTCAATAAATGTGAAAATACTGTAAAGGTAAATTTGGGGGAATACTCATCATTGGCAGATACCTCACTCCATCTCTGACTTTTTGAGCCAACATTATGATGGATATGAAGAAGTGGGATTACTAACCAATGTGACCCACAATATACATAGAATTCGGAATATCTTTGAATGCAGAATATCTGATTGTAAGCTTTCTCTTTTTAACTACACTGCAAAATTCTGATGACTCATCTTGCCAGGCTCTCTGGAAATAATTGCATGAATATATGCTAATATATATAAATATGTTATATATATAATCTAATAGTGAATATATGTTAGTGAATAGTGAATGATATTTATAGTGTGTGTAAGCCTGTCAGACTGACACCAATGAGTATGGAATACTGATGAGATAATTCCAGGTTCAAGGTATCCCACAAAGCCTGCAGGCCCCTGGGACTTCAGTGAGAAACACTATATATATATGTTTGTGTGTGTGTGTGTGTGTGTGTGTATATATATATATGTGATTATACATATAATCTAATAGTGAACATATGTTTTTATAATCTAATAGTGAATATTAAACAATATGTATATTTCACAATTTGATTATAAAAACTTTGAATATAGGGAGTATACCCATTCTTTTTTTTCTTTCTTTTTTTTTGAAATGGAATTTTGCTCTTGTACTCAGGCTGGAGTGCAATGGCGTGATCTCAGCTGACTGCAACCTCTGCCTCCTGGGTTCAAGTGAGTCTCCTGCCTCAGCCTCTCGAGTAGCTGGGATTACAGGCATGCACCACCACATCCACCTAATTTTTGTATTTTTTAGTAGAGACGGGGCATCACCATGTTGGTCAGGCTGGTCTCGAACTCCTGACCTTAGGTAATCCACCTGCCTCTGGCTTTCAAAGTGCTGGGATTACAGGCATGAGCCACCGTGCCCAGTCAGGAATATATCCATTCTTAAATGGTATCCCATATGCCCATACCCCCTATTTCCAATGGCCATTCAGAAAACATTTGCAGTCTATTGATAAAACTTCCTATTTCAAAATAAAGCTTTGTCTTGTCCTTATCTCAACACATAAACTAACTTACATTGTTCAAACTAAATTAATTGAAATTCCGAACTTTCTCTGTTCCAAAACTGTTGATGTCAAATGAAGGCTGCATAGCTTTCTGCATTCAGAAAGACAATTTCAATTTGTGAATTACTTAGTAACATTTCTCCCTTTTAAATGGAAGCAGCACTCTACTGGTTTGCTCTAAAGATGTGCTACTATGAAAAAGACAACAATTACATATTGTGGAAGACTTTATCTAGGGAAAATTGGTGGGTAATACATTCTGGTGGTGGAGAACAGAGAAATAACCCCCAAACATGAATGTCTAAAAGAGAAGTCATATTTTCTTAAATAAATTAACTTATTTTTCAGCTATTATTCAGACCTTCTTGACAAGCAAGGGAAATTTGTTTTATTAATTTCCTTTGAACATATGTATGCTTCTCTTTATTTTTCTATTTCTGATAGTAGTCAGCATATAGTCTTAACAGGCACTTGGGCCAAACATGATGGTGACATTAGCAAATCATATACTAATGCTCTTACTATGAGAGAAAAAATATTTTTATGCAGTATATTTTTTATATACAATACTATTATGTATATATTGTTGGAGGTAAAGAAACTTTTAAGAAAAAACAAACCTATCATCTAATCTTTCCTACCAACCCAAATCAACAGCTATATAAAGGGTAGGTTTGGAAGAGGGGAAGATGAAATTTTCTCACTGGTGGCCCATGGGCCTGCAGGCTGTGTAGGATACCTTGAACCTGGAATCATTCCATCAGTATTCCATGGCCTTTGGTGTCAGCCTGATAGATGTACACGTGCTATAAAATGCTCACCCTTGTTTTGCTTTCTGAACTGAGATTCTTCTTAAAGGCATCATCAGTCTGTTGACTATACCTCATGTTAAGGGAACATCTAGATAGAACCATTTCAGTGTTTGTGTTTTTCACTTTATTTGTTTGACTTCATAACTTTTTATGCAGATGATTGTACAATGTTGAGATCAATTGTAGCTGAGAAACTTCTCTCATATGGAGTAATTTATATAGCAACCAAAAGGTAGAAGGGAAATAAAACAAAAACATACTTGGTAATTTAATGAATTTAAAAACTAGCCCTGGGGGAAAATGCATCACTTTATATTTTGTATCACTGCTGTGTTTAAGAAACCTAAAAATGGAAATTTCATATTCTCATATTTTGACAAGTACTTTACATTTGCTTGAATAAATATTTTACTGTGAAAGGAATATGATTAAAAAGAAAAGAACCCCCACACTATTAACTTCTCAGGAACATTAAAGCAGTAAAAGTACACATTCCATAAGCCAAGGGATGCAGCAGCATTCAGTTAGCTCCAACTTATCCTGGAAAGAGATTTTCTTTCTTATTTTTAAGGTGCAAGGAACCCTGCACTTACAGAAAGGAGAGGTGTGCTTCAACTGTCATATTGATGTGGTAGAATTTAGCTCTTTTCTGAAGAGTTTTCATATCCCAAGAGCATAAAGACAATAGCACACTATATAGAGAGCCAATAAATCAATTAGCTTTAACAGCCAGAGTTCAGGAAATGCATTTATTCTCTTCGATGAAAACACGGCTTCTCCTTGTAGCTATACTTCAAACTGTTAAGGTCAATTTTTCACATGGAAATTATATTTAGTGGCTGAAAAAATCACTGAAATTTCATAAAGCAAAAGAGAAGCACTTACTAATGTAGGAGAACAAGTTTGTTTTATTTGTAATTATCTATCTTTAGAGTAATTGAGATTCTAAACAGCAGCTAATAGCCTCACTGTCTCAAATTACTACTGCCTGTAACTTTACCTTGCCAAATATCAAAGAGCTTTTCAATTGCAACACTACTACTAAAATCTGGGTCATTTTCTAGCAATTAATTGGAAGAGGTGATTAATAGCTTAATAATGGGTTGCTCTGTGTTTAAAAAGTGCAGGGGATGTGCATAGGAAAGGAATATGTAATTTTGTATCCCTGAAACATAACCTAATTGAAAAATCAGCAGTTGGTCTTATTTACTTTAGGCTTGTATTTCCAAACCCTCTTTTGATCTACTCTGAGAAAATGTGTAAATCTGGAGAGTATTTTTTAATTAACTCCTTGAACATTGAACATGCTATGAATTTAAGGAGCACAAGCTATTCCATGGCACCTGCTGTGCTGCAGTCAACTTCACAGGAATTTGAGGGTAATACGTGTCAAGTATCTATCTGGATGTGCAGATGGTAGTGCCCATTCAGCAAGTCACCCACTACAGGACCACCGGTGGATTCATATGGCCATTTGCCGATAGCATAGCCTAAGTAATGTGGTTCCTGGGAGCCTATGTCCACTTCTACAATGGATTCTTGTTATATTCACCCCGGACTTAGTGACTGTAAAATCTACCTTCAACCTTTCATAATATTCTCCCAGAAACCTCCATTAAGACAGTCAGTGCAATTCAGCAAGTTCACCACTCTCAATGTTTAGCCAGTTTACAAGGAAATGGCAAGTTGACTAGTTAGACAAGTAATTTAATAGAGAGGTAGGTCTCATAATAAGGTAAGGGATGCAACTAGCAAATAGAAAGGGACCAGGACTCATTTGTCCAAACTATTACAACATTGGGTTTATCCATGGCCAGATGTTTGGGTAGGGGCACACTGATTTTGTTTTAAATTGTCTATTGCAATTGCTATCAATGTACATGTGTTTCTCTTTTATGTTGCTAGAAGATAGTCAAGATTAAAGCTCTTGGTTTCCCATAATTTCTTTCACATTGTGCATTCCTGCTTCTCATTTCAGTCCAATTGTATCCCAGTTGAACCTAGAAATACTGGACTATTTGTCCCCCATTGTATTTGCACAATGACTTAATGTTAGTGGAAATCAGGATTTTAGTAACTTCCTGGCACTAATTCCGTGGAACCAAACATAAATTGGGAATGAAAGGACATAGGAAATAAAGACAACTACCTGGAAGGGAGCTCCACATACCCAGCTCTCATACACCCAGGTATGCAATCTTGAAATTATTTATTCTACCAAAGGCAAGGCATCAAATGAAGACTCAACTGGTCATAGAATTTTTTTTTCAATTCTTTTCACATTTTTTGGATAATATATAAAGATAAAGTGAAATTATGAAAATTAAACCAAAAAGGACTTGGTCTTCCTCTGCTAAAAGGCACACAGTTCACCAATTTTAATAAACTGGAATGAAGATAGAACAGTTTGCTAGTGGTGGGGAAAGCCAGTCAGCTGAAAACCAAGACAAGAGTGGCTTTATGAGATTATTATAAGCTCCCAAACAGGAGCTCACTTATGCTCAGAAGTTAAAGGCTAGAGAAGGCCTAGATAAATGGAAATTCATCAGTGTGAAGGGGGCTGGCCTGTACCTCTGAAATTCCTGCTGGGCAGGTAGCCTAAAGTTCTAATCATCCTCCAGCTCAGAGCAAAAAGCTCTGATTCCAAGATGTGATGGAGGCAGACCAACTCAGCGGGAGTAGTTCTTTTCTTGCATAGCTTTTGATAATTTTCCTTAAAAAAAATTTCATTTTTTTTTTTTGAGACAGGGTCTTACCCTGCCACCCAGGCAGGAATGCAGTGGTGTGATCACAGCCAATTGCAGCCTTGACCTCCCAAGCTCAAGCTCAAGCTCAAGCAATCCTCTGCCTCAGTTTTTGATTTTTTTGTTTTTGTAGAGATGAGGTCTTACTATGTTGCCCAGGCTGGTCTCAAACTCCTGGGCTCAAGCCATCCTCACACCTCAACCTCCCAAAGTGTTGGGATTACAGGTATGCACCACTGGGCCCTACATGTTGTTATTTTTAATTTGCTTAATTTCTTTGTACTCACAGCTAAATCTCCCCATGACTGTCAAATATTTAGTACAATTTTCTATGCCTTCATATTTTTGAATTTGTCAACTTTATTTCTCAGTTCTTTCTTTCTCAGAAGGCCCCATCTCAAATCTGGTTTGATGGTTTTCAATCTAGGCCTGCTAATAGCTAATACTTGTCTTCTGGAATTACCTTTATTTCTCTCTTGCTTTACTTCTTTAGTTTTGTGGAGTAAATTTTCTAATAAGCTTTCTGAGAAAGAGTTCTTGGAAAGTAAGTTGTTTGATGCTTTCTCCATCTTAAATATCTGTCCCCTAACCATACTTATTCCATTGTTTGCTAGCTCCCGGTGTTTCTTCAAAGAAGTCGCATATCTCTCTGATTCTTGATCCCTTGTATATTAACCTCTTTAAAGGACAGTGTTTTGTTTTTCTCTTGGGAAGCAGTTAGAATCTAATTTTAATATGTGACATTTTGAAATTTTATGATTTTGTACTTTGGCATGAATCTTTGTCATTCTTCATACTGGGTACATATCTGAAATATATATATTTTTTAATTCAGGAACAATTCCTTACGTATTTTTTTTAAAAATAATTTCCCTCTCACCATCTGTGTTTTCTACTAGTCAGATGTTAGAGCTTTGGATTTGATCCTCTAATTGTTTTACCTTTTCTCATCCAACTTATCATGCTTTTTTTTTTCTTTCTAAGATATTTCCTTGAGCTTATATTCTAACTCTAATATTGATTTTTAATTTTAAAAATATTTTTGAAATGTACGGCCCATGTCTTGTTCTCTAATTTTTTCAATGGCATTCTATCTTTATATTGTATGAATGCAATATTGTCTATTTTCTTAACCTACTGATGACATTATATTTTCCACAATTCTATTATCTTTATTTTTATTTCCTATTTATTTTGATGTTTCCTTTTTTTCAAGATCTTTTGTTCAGATCTTCTTGCAAATATCTGATGGTTGTTGGTTATGCTGACTGAAAACTTACTTTGCAAAGGGAAGACTGCCAATTGACCATTTTGCTAGAGGGTGCACAGCCTGCTGGCCAGCTTGCTTTTTTTCAGGGTATGTAAGGTAATACAAGCTTAGCTGTATACACTGAAAGTGGGATGAGAAGAAGGTTGTTGAACTTACCCTTATGTGTGGGAACTTTTATTTAGTCCACTGTTTACATGGTGGTGGCATTCTCCCATCATCTCCTGTGCTTGAATCCCAGAATTTCTTTGTTTTGTTTTTGTTTCATTTTGTTTTTCCTCCAGAGATTAAAATTCCCAGAATGGGAAAGATGGAGAAAATACAGTGGTTTCTCTATAGGTGGGGTCTGGAATATTTTTTACCTAACTTGTTTATTTCCAGTCAGATATTTTGCCCTGTAAATTGCTCTAGTTTTACATATCTTTCTTTTCTTCTAATGTTGATACATTTGTGATGTCTTACTTTTTTCTTTTTTCTTTTTTTTGAAAAGTGGCAAAGGGAAGGGTCTTTAGTTTTTCACTGAAATCAGGGTAAACTAGGCACGATAGTAAGGTTATTTTCACATATCTTTATAACAATTTTAGTTAAGAATGATCATCTTTTACAGATTA
The DNA here is from genome assembly GCF_000001405.40 of Homo sapiens. NCBI lineage: Eukaryota > Metazoa > Chordata > Mammalia > Primates > Hominidae > Homo > Homo sapiens. Next base: position 155,896,232 of record NC_000002.12, on the reverse strand, counting down.
AATAATTTAAAGCTTAGAGAACTTTCTTACATTGCACAAGGTTTTACAGCAAATCAATGGCAGAATCCGTGTTTGTGTCCACATTTCAAAGACTCTAGTGCACATTTTTTTAAAACACTCTGCTGGATGCCTCCACAACACAGGAATATTTTTAAACGGGTTCAAAGCTGATTCTAGCAGGTAAAGATTTCATGGGCTATTGAGTTAGCTAGACTAGAAATCAAAATAATTTTCTTTTGGCAAGATACTGTTTTTCCCTTCCTTTAACTTAGGCCTCCATTCTCCGTATTAAAACCTATTTTCAAAATTTTAACTTACACTAGGTTATAAATTGTTGACAAAAACTTTAAAAACTTTCCCTCTCAGGGGTATTTGAAGGTTAATTTAAGAATATGTTTGATGAAGCTCCAACAATATTTCAGGAGGTAGAAGAAGACATAGTTTAGACACAACTAAATTTCTGAAATAACTATATAGACACTTATCTATTTTCTACCTATAAAGCAGGTTATCAATGTTGAGGAAAAATTGAATTATCAGATAATAGCCCTTCACAGTTGGGGGAGAGGGTGGAAGAGAAAGATCTTCTTGGGATCCTGGCAGGATAGGCTAGCTTTTAAGATTTCGCTCTTTGGGGCTGGGCCTGGGATGGGCAGAATATTTCATCTGAAATATCTAGGAGAGGGGAGAGTCAGAGTATGATGAAAAGTAAGTGGGGAGAACAGTAAATAGATTAGATAGGAGAGAGTATGGTGTATTCAGAGGTTAAAATCAGATTAAGGACATTCTTATATTGAACTTTATTGTATAACCAATGGAAAGTAAATGGTAATTTTTGCATCTGGAACTTACATATGCAGACCTATGTTTCAAGGGATTTAATCTGGTACAGATAGCTTCCTTATCTTTCTCTGCTGTTAAAATAGTTTAATTTGACGAGAATATAAATAGAATTGAAAGAACAAACTCTTGAGTCACTATAGATAGGATGACTATGATTCATTGTCTAACTTGTAAGAGTGAAAGGGAGGTACTGGGGCAAAAGGATAAACAGAGAATTCCAAAGGCTCATTGGAATGTATAGCTATCCTCCCTATGGGCAAATTGGGGAAAGGAGGTAGGACAGAGTATATGAAACCCTGTCTGAATAACTGCAGGAAGAGTAGGGAAAAAGGAAGAGTAATTAATCATTATAATACAATATTTGGTTTGCCAATTCCATATTAATTTTTAATGGACCAAGATATAACATTTATTTTTATGTGGATCTTTCTAGTTTTTAAAGATCCTACCAAAAAAAAATCAGTGAGTGCTCTTGTGAACCCATATGTTCAGGGATATTAAATAGCAACATGTTTGATTATTTTAAAATTTTGCTTTAATTTGGTTGGAGAAATATATTCAATTTAGCTCTTCTAGTAATCTGGGCAACCACAGTCCTTGTCTTTTGTGTTCTAAGTGCTCTAAGTACATGTTAAATGATTATTTAGTGATATGGAAAACCATAAAAACTCTGTGAGACACAACTATAGTGCTTGGTTTGAAGAATGATTTAGCCATTTGAGAGACAAACTGCATTCAAAATATTTTCCTCTCATTTGAGCAGGGCCAACTTATCCATTAGGCACTGTAAGCACAGCAGTTGAGCCTCCCTTCTTTTAGAGGCCTATGAAAAGATTTTAATTTATTTTAAAATCTGAAGGGAAAGCAAGAAACTTTTAGATAAAGAAAAAATTTTTAATATGTAATGACATTCATTTTATGTCAGTTAATATGGTCAGAAAATATATTTTTGATAATTTTTATTGAGAAAGGGGCCCACAAAAATAGAATTGCTCAGCACCTACAAAAGTCACTGGGTCCACGTAAACTATGAAGAATCTATTTCTTAGTATACTGCTGGAATAATCTTTTTGTTATTGTTGTTCATACATTAGGTTTCATTTTAATGTGAGTATCTAAAACAAGGTAACATGTTTTCTTTTTGAGCTGAAAAATCTCTAAAGCTAATCATTCTCTTTCATGAAGCAACCTTATGTGTTTTGTGGAGACAGGTTTCTTTCATTTCCTTAAATCTTTTCGCCAATAGTGGTGAAGGCCTTCCTGGGGACCACTGAGGGCTTTCCTTGGGGAAAGGTTGAGAAGATGCCTGAGGCTGGAAGCATGGGGCAAACCAATAAGCTGGAAGCAGGGAGAGAGAATGGGACATTTGGTGGTAGCGGGTCTGAAAATCAACTAGGTGGGATGCAGCTTCACATGGCTGACATGTATTCAATTTAGGACCTGTCCCAGATGGCTGTTACAGAACGCTACATTGCCCATGGCTGTGTGAAGCAAGTGGATGCTCTTCCTTCCCACATCCAAGCTTTTGCTAGTGTTAGTGAAAGCCACTAACACTTGTTAGCCACTAACTTTGTTAGTTAGTTACAAAGTTAGCCACAAAGCCACTAACTTTGTTAGATGTTAGTGAAAGCCAACATCACACACATGGAATAAAGCTAAACACATGCCCCCATTACATTAACATTTTAATGAGAACTACAGTCTTCCTAACACATACACATGTTGTACTTACTATTTTACCTGTAACCACTTATAACATTATTAATACAAATAGTGATACCAGTGAAAAAATAACTTAAAACAATAATAGTTAATGTACTTTGGGTCACACACTATTCACATATATTTTCCTGAATTCTTGTTAGAATTATTTGAAAGTTGTTGGAATGTCTACTATATACCAGACTGTTCTAAACTCTGGAAAGATAGTAGAGAATAGATAGGTGAAGTTTCTACTTTGATAGAGTTAACATTCTACTGCAATAGTAATTAAAAAAAACAAAAAGATAAATATCAGATGGTGATAATTTCTTTAATTTTCCATTTGAAATCATCATATGAATTTTAATCACAGCAAATGTGTTTTAATGGTAGTCATAAAATCAACATTACCACGTATACAAGAGACAAGACACCAGTTTGGCATACAAAAATACTACATATTAAAATTGGGTTCATTGTCAAAAGTCAAGGCTAGACAAGATTGTGATGCTTTTAATGAAGAAAATTATAAAAGAATAATGAGATAGAGAATGTTGGTGGCTATATTCGATTGACTAGTCTAGCATTTAATTTAAAATATAATGTTCAAAAAATAGAAAATATCCAATGCAGCTACAGCATAGTAAAAAATGGAGGGGGGCAATAAAAGAGGACATCAGAAAGGTGCATGGGGTCAGATTGCATGGAACACTGTAACTAAATAAAGTCAAAGACCATGATTTTGCCAAACAGTTCTCTGGTTAACCTTGGACCAACCAAGTCCTCCCTCCTTTCTTACTTGTAATTATCAAAAACAAAACAAAACAAAAAACTAAAAACTTTAGAATTTGATGGGAATGCAAATTTCTGAGATAAAGGAGGATTGACTGTAATAGCCTAGGCTCTGTTGCAGTCCCTTGTAACAACAGGATGTCCTGCAGTGCTTTAGTGCAGTGAGTCTTGTGACACCAGAGTATAAAATCCAGGGCAGGCTGCTTTCCAGGGTCCCTCAGCTGTGATGCAAGTGGGGAACAAGCAGTTGAGACTCCATCCACCCTGGAGAAGCTTTCCTGAGACTTTGAGGACCATCCAGCAATTAATTCTATGGTGCTCTTGTCCCTTGCTGCCTATCTGCAAGTGAAAAAACCCTCTTCTTGTAACTTATGTGTATAAGTGTTATTTCTCAGCAAACTCAGATAAGTAACCAGTGCACGTTGAACCTGCTTCACCAACTCAATTCTTGGAGTAATGGGAATTCATTAGAGAATTCTCATATTTAGCAAGAGAAGAACATGAACTTACGTATTTGGCTTGAAAAGCTGGGCAGATGGTGGTCATCTTGCCAGAGTGTAGAAAGCTCAGGAAAGAGCAATTTGGGCAAGAAAAAACTAAAAAATGTGTTTTAGTTACTTACCATACAAAATTTGTTCTGCCGTTCAAGAAGCAGAATGAACTAAGTAGTTAGATAATGAGTTTTGAGTTTAGAAAGATACAGACAGAGCCTTGCAGTTGGAATTTAGAACTGTGGGACTGGATGAGGTCACCGAGGTGGACGATACAAAAGAGAAAGAGATACAAGACTGAGTTTTCAGGTCTTCAAAATTTAGAAGTTAAGCCAAGTAGGAAAATCCAGCAAATGATACCACAAAATGGCCATCAGTGAAACAGAAAGAAGACTAAGAATGTAGAAACACTGAGACCAAGAAAAGAAAATATTTTCAGAAAGGTAGAGAGACTACTTATCAAGTACTGATAAGGGTTTAAATTAGATAAGAATAGAGACTGGACCATTGGATTTTAAAATGTGGTTACTTTAACAAGAGCAGTTTTAGTGATGCTGTGAGAATGATAGTATGTTTGGATTAGATCGAGATTAGAGTAGAAGGATGTGGAGAAGGTAAATATATACCATTATTTCAATAAATTTTGAGATGAAAGAGACAGTCCAAAGGGAAGTAGGCTAGAAAGATAGTATGGTTGGATTAGATTGAGATTAGAGTAGAGGATGTGGAGAAGGTAAATATGTATCATTATTTCAATAAATTTTGAGATGAAAGAGACAGCCCAAAGGGAAGTAGACTAGAAAGAAAATTGTTTTCCTTCCTTCCCTTCTCCATCCTATCTCTTCTTTCCTCCCCTCCTTTTCTTTTCTTCCTTTCTTCTTTCCTTCCTTCCCTCCTTCTTTTTAAAAGATAGGATTTAGCATGTTTGTATGCTGATTCAGATAGAATTGAAAGGAGGGAGAATCTATGATTTAGGAGCTATAATGGAGAAGCAAAGTTCTTACTAATGCAGTGGGTGAAAAGAAGGAAAAATCCACGGGGTAAGTTGAAGACTCCTCCGTTGACAGGCAGTAGGATGCTTCACTCCTACTGATAGGTGGAACAGTGGAGTCTGTGATGTTGACTGGTTGGACATTTTGGTTGCAAAACAATAAAGAATTCCTGGTGCTGTAGACATTGGAGAAAGAAAATAGCATTTGAAGAGAATTACTAACTAGACAGTTAGGAAAGACAGAAACAAGTATTAAAAACAAATCAAGTAAGAAAAATAGGATATTCTTTTACTTGATCATTTTTAAAATGGATTTTTGGAGTCTTAACTTGTAAGTTTCTAAAATGATAACTTGTTTGAATAATGATAATTATGCAGCAGATTACCTTATCTTATTTTGTGATTATGGATAAATCGCATTTTTTGGTTCAAATGTCACATGTAAATGTGTTCTATTTAAAACATCTAAAACCTTGATATAAATTTTGTCAATTTTTTGTTTTAGGTTATTTAATGCAAATTAAGTATCAACTTCAGGGAGTAGTACCTTTCTGCTAGTTCCCCCCAAACTCTTACCCCCCAAAAAACTATCATAGAGTTCAGTTATTTTTGTATTATTTGGGAGAAACAACATGCAAGACAGGCAATCACATTTTTTACCAATTATTGCACCATCTAAAGGAGATTTATCTGGTTATGATTAGCCTCATGTTGAGGGAAAATCTAAATTTAGTTTCTTAACCCATATCTTGCTCCGATGGCATCACCTTACTGTGTTTTTATGTCACAGCTGGTTCACTCAAGGAAGGACAATTGCCTCAGTGCAGCTAGTCTATAGGCTGTCTGGTAGAATGGCCTGGGAGGTAATTTTGCATGAATGTTCTGTTACTAGATAGTCAAAACACAGATGAGGATTATTTAGGCCAGCTCACATATTCTATCTGGAAACATTTTGCTGAATAGATAGGGAGAAAGGGGGAATTATTTTGTTAGCAATAATAGAGTTGAGTAAGCTGAAGTAACAAGTAAGCAGAGGCTATGAGGGAGTAAATATGTGTAAGTGGAAGACAAAAGATATAGAGCATTAGAATGTGAGATAGCTGGATTGGTGGTGGCTAGATCAGAAGTGGAGGAATTGATAACAAAGAGAGATTGACATTGTTCTTCTGTTGAAGCAGGGGTAGGCTAACTAGCTCCCAAACATGCTTTGAGTTCTTTAATTTTTGACCTGTTCCAAATTCCAGAAGTCCAACCTACCACTGTTTCTGGGTTTTCTCAAGATTAGGTCAATGTGCATGTTCACAATATAATCTTATTACTTGAGGTGATTTGAATAAAGCTTTGTCCCTTACCAGCTAAAGAGCTGAAAGAGCACTCCAGGTATTATATCCTTTCCTTTTGTCATGGAAAGAAAAAATAATGAACTGTAAGATCCCAGATGGGAGGAAATAAATTGCATTCATTACTACAAGTCAAAAATTTTGGATGAAGTATGAAATTATAGTAACTTTCCCCAAAAATATTTTAATAAATAAATGGAAAAGAGTCTTTTTTTTCTTTTTTCTGAACTAAGGCATATTTCTTATACAATAAAATGCACATATGTTAAGTGTTCAATTTGTTGAGTACTGGTTCAGTTTGTTAATGTGTATAAGCATTATTACAAGCAAGACATAAAATATTTCTGTCATTCCCAAAAGTTCCCTTATCCTCCTTTCTAGTCATTCTTTCCCAGCCCTGAAGAAGTGATCACTATCTGTACTTATCACCACAGATGACTTTTGCCTATTCTTGGACTTCAGCTAGAAAGAACCATATAATAGATTTTCTTATGTATCCTGTTTCATTTGCCCAAGATTGTTTTGAGATGCATTCACATATACATACACTGTATATGTACATATAAATGTATACATACGAACATAAATGGATACATACATACAATACACATACATAGCAACATATATTCTATGTTCAGGAGTCATTTGTATGTATTGCTGAGTAGTAATCCAATATTGTGGTTTTCATTTATGTTTTCCTAAATATTAATAACATTGAACACTTTTTTTCATTTTTATTGGCCATTTGTAAATATTTTTCTGGGAAATGTTTAAGATTTTTGCTTAATTTTTATTAAGTTACTGTTTTACCGATACATAATATTTCACATACTTATAGGGTACATGTGATATTTTATGCTTGTATAGAATGTGTAATGATCAAGTCAGGGTCTTTGGGGTATTCATCACCTTGAATATTTGTCATTTCTATTTGTTCTGTCTTCTAGCTACTTTTAGCTTATAATACATTGTTACTAATTATAATTACCCTGCTCTGCCATTGACTATTAGACCTTATACTTTATATTGAAATACATGTTTGTACCCATTGATCAACTTCTCTTCATTCCTCCTCCCACCCACAAACTCTTCCCAGCCTCTAGTATCTATTTTCTACCTCCATGAGATTGTTTTTCTTTTTTACCTCCCTCAAATAAGTGAGATCATACAAAATTTGTCTTCCTGTGTCTAGCTGATTTCTCTTAACATACTGACCTCTTGTTTCCATCCATGTTGCTGCAAGCGATATGATTTCATTTTTTTAAATGGCTGAATAGCATTCCATTGGGTATATATGACACATTTTCTCTTTTTTTTTTTTTTTTTTTTTTTGAGACGGAGTCTCGCTCTGTCTCCCAGGCTGGAGTGCAGTGGCGCGATCTCGGCTCACTGCAAGCTCCATCTCCCAGGCTCACGCCATTCTCCTGCCTCAGCCTCCCAAGTAGCTGGGACTACAGGCGCCCACTACCACGCCCAGCTAATTTTTTTTTGCATATTTAGTAGAGACGGGGTTTCACCGTGTTAGCTAGGATGGTCTCGATCTCCTGACCTCATGATCCGCCCTCCTCGGCCTCCCAAACTGCTGGGATTACAGGTGTGAGCCACCGCGCCAGGCCTACATTTTCTTTATCCATTCATCTATGGATGAATACTCAGGTTGATTATAAATCTTTGCTTTTGTAAATCGGGCTGCAATAATCATGTGAATGCTGGTATCCCTTTGATAGACTAATTTATTTTCCTTTGGATAAAGGAATATAGTGAAATTGCTAGATAATATGGTAGTCCTATTTTTAGTGTTTTGAGAAATTCCCATACTGTTTTCTATAGAGGCTGTACTAATTTACATTCCTACCCACAATGTATAAGAGTTGCCTTTTCTCCACATCCTTGCCAAGATTTTCATTTTTTGTCTTTTTAATAATAGCCATTCTAACTGAGATAAGATGATATCTAATTGTTGTTTTGATTTGGGCTTGCCCGATGATTAATGATATTGAGCATTATCTCATATGCCTGCTGGCCATTTTATGCCTTCTTTTGAAAAATTCTTTTGAGAAATATTCTTGTCCTTGCCCACTTTTGAATGTGATCATTTGGCTTTAGGCTACTGTTTAAATTTCTTATATATTCCAGATATTAATTCCTTACTAGATGAATAGTGGGCAAATATTTTCTCCCATTCAACAGGTTGTCTCTTTACTCTGTTCCTTTGCTTTGCAGAAGTTTTTAGAGTACTGTAGTCCCATTTGTCTATTTTTGTTTTAGTTGTCTGTGCTTTATGAGGTCTTAGCTATAAAGTCTTTTCCTAGGTTAATGTCCTCAAATGTTTTCCCTATGTTTTCTTGTATTAATTTCATAGTTTCAGGTTGAACACGTAAGTCTTTTATCCATCTTGACTTCACTTTTACATATAGTGAGAAATAGAGTCCTAGTTTCATTCTTCTGCATGTGGATATCAAGCTTCCCTAGTACCATTTATTGAAGAGTATGCCTTTCCTCAGTGTATATGCATGAATTGATTTTTGGATTCTCTATTCTGTTACATTGATCTATGTTTCTTTTATTTTTCTTAATAACAAAACCATGCTGTTTGGGTTACTATAGCCTTTTAATGTACTTTTGAAGTCAGGTAATGTGACACCTGTAGCTTTGTTCCTCTTTCTCAGAATTATTTTTGCTATTCAGGCTCTCTTTTGGTTCCATGCAAATTTTAGGATTTAAAAATGTCTGTGAAAAATGACATTGGTATTTTGCTAAGATTTATATTGAATTTGTTGATTGTTTTGGGCAGTATGGTCACTTTAATAATATAAAGTCTTCCAGTCATGAACATAGAGTGTCTTTTTGTTTGTGTTATATTCCATTTCTTTCATCAATATTTTGTTGTTTTTCTTGTAGAGATGTTTCACCTCCTTGGTTTACGTTATTCCTACATATTTTAATTTTTGTAGCAATTGTAAATGTGATTGCCTTATTGATTTCTTTCTCAGGTACTTCATTATCGGTGTATAGGAACATTACTCATTTTTGTATGTTGATTTCTATGTTGCAACTTTACTAGATGTATTTATCAGATCTAAGAGGTTTTTTTTTTTGTTATTGCTGATGACTTTAGTTTTTTCCAGATATAAAATCATAGCATCAACAAAGAGAGACAATTTGACTTATTTTCCAATGTGGATGCCCTTTATTACTTTCTCTTGCCCCATTTCTTTGGCTAGGACTTCCAGTACTATGTTGTATTGTAGTGGTGAAAGTGATATCTTTGTCTTGTCGTAGTTCTTAGGGGTAAGGTTTTCAGCTGTCCCCCATTAAGTATGATGTTAGCTGTGGGTTTGCCACAAATGACCTTTATTAAGTTGAGGTATGTTCTTTCTAGGCCTAGTTTGTTGAGAGCTTTATTTTTATTTTTTTTTTTTTAATACTTTAAGTTCTGTGATACAAGTGCAGAACGTGCAGGTTTGTTACCTAGGTATACATGTGCAATGGTGGTTTGCTGCACCCATCAATCTGTCATCTGCATTAGGTATTTCTTCTAATGCTATCCCTCCCCTATCCCCCAACCCCATGACAGGTCACAGTGTGTGATGTTCCCCTCCCCGTGCCCATGTGTTCTCATTGTTCAACTCCCACTTAGGTGTGAGAACATGTGGTGGTTGGTTTTCTATTCCTGTGTTAGTTTGCTGAGAATGATGTTTTCCAGCTTCATCCATGTCCCTGCAAAGGACATAACTCATCCTTTTTATGGCTGCATAGTATTCCATGGTGTATATGTGCCATATTTTCTTTTTCCAGTCTATCATCCATGATCATTTGGGTTGGTTCCAAGTCTTTGTTATTGTGAATAGTGCTGCAATAAAACATATGTGTGCATGTGTCTTTATAGTAGAATGATTTATAATACTTTGGGTATATACCCAGTAATGGGATTGCTGGGTCAAATGGTATTTCTGGTTCTAGATCCTTGAGGAATAGCCACATTGTCTTCCACAATGGATGAAATAATTTACACTCCCACCAACAGTGTAAAAGCATTCCTATTTCTCCAGCATCTGTTGTTTCCTGACTTTTTAATGAGTGCCATTCTAACTGGCATGAGATGGTATCATTGTGGTTTTCATTTGCATTTCTCTAATGACCAGTGATGATGAGCCTTTTTTCATATGTTTTTTGGTCACATCAATGTCTTCTTTTTTTTTTTTTTTTGAGACAGAGTCTCACTTTGTTGCCCAGGCTGGAGTGCAGTGGCTCGATCTCGGCTCACTGCAACCTCTGCTCCCTGGGTTCAAGTGATTTTCTGCCTCAGCCTCTTGAATAGCTGGGATTACAGGTGCTTGCCACCATGCCCAGCTAATTTTTTTTTTTTCTGATTTATAGTAGAGATGGGGTTTTGCTATCTTGGCCAGGCTTGTCTTGGACTCCTGACTTCGCGATCCACCCCCCTTGGCCTCCCAAAGTACGGGGATTACAGGCATGAGCCACCGTGCCCAGCCCAAATGTCTTCTTTTGAGAAGTGCCTGTTCATATCCTTTGCCCACTTTGTGATGGGGTTGTATGATTTTTTTCTTGTAAATTTGTTTAAGTTCCTTGTAGATTCTGGATATTAGCCCTTTGTCAGATGGACAGATTGCAAAACTTTTCTCCCATTCTGTAGGTTGCCTGTTCACTCTGATGATAGTTTCCTTTGCTGTGCAGAAGCTCTTTAGTTTAATTGCATGCCATTTGTCAATTTTGGCTTTTGTTGCTGTTGCTTTTGGTGTTTTAGTCATGAAGTCTTTGCCCATGTATATGTCCTGAATGGTATTGCCTAGGTTTTCTTCTAAGGTTTTTATGGTTTTAGGTCTTATGTTTAAGTCTTCAATCCATCTCGAGTTAATTTTTGTATAAGGAGTAAGGAAGGGATCCAGTTTCAGTTTTCTGCATATGGCTAGCCAGTTTTCCCAACACCATTTGTTAAATAGGGAATCCTTTCCCCATTGCTAGTTTTTGCCAGGTTTATCAAAGATCGGATGTTGGCAGATGTGTGGCATTATTTCTGAGGCCTCTGTTCTGTTCCATTGGTCTATATCTCTGTTTTGGACAGTACCATGCTGTTTTGGTTACTGTAGTCTTGTAGTATAGTTTGAAGTCAGGTATTGTGATGCCTCCAGCTTTGTTATTTTGGCTTAGGATTGTCTTGGCTATACAAGCTCTTTTTGGTTTCATATAAAATTTAAAGTAGTTTTTTTCTAATTCTGTGAAGAAAGTCAATGGTAGCTTGATGGAAATAGCACTTAATCTATAAATTACTTTGGGCAGTATGGCCATTTCACAATATTGATTCTTCCTATCCATGAGCATGAAATGTTTTTCATTTGTGTCATCTCTTATTTCTTTGAGCAGTGGTTTGTAGTTCCCCTTGAAGAGGTCCTTCACATCCCCTGTAAGTTGTATTCCTAGGTATTTTATTCTCTTTGTAGCAATTGTGAATGGGAGTTCACTCATGATTTGGCTCTTTGTTTGTCTGTTATTGATGTATAAGAATGCTTGTGATTTTTGCACATTGATTTTGTATCCTGAGACTTTGCTGAAGTTGCTTATCAACTTAAGGAGATTTGGGGCTGAGACGATGGGGTTTTCTAAATATACAATCATGTCATCTGCAAACAGAGGCAATTTGCCTTTCTCTCTTCCTATTTGAATACCCTTTATTTCTTTCTCTTGCCTGATTGCCCTGGCCAGAAATTCCAATACTATGTTGAATAGGAGTGGTGAGAGAGGGCATATCTGTCTTGTGCCAGTTTTCAAAGGGAATGCTTCCAGGTTTTGCCCATTCAGTATAATATTGGCTGTGGGTTTGTCATAAATCGCTCTTATTACTTTGAGATACGTTCCGTCAATACACAGTTTATTGAGAGTTTTTAGCATGAAGGGGTGTTGAATTTTATCAAAGGCCTTTTCTGCATCTATTGAGATAATCATGTGGTTTTTATTATTGGTTCTGTTTATATAATAGATTACTTTTTTTGATTTGTGTATGTTGAACCAGCCTTGCATTCCAGGGATGAAGCTGTCTTGATTGTGGTGGATAAGCTTTTTGCTGTGCTGCTGGATTCGATTTGCCAGTATTTTCTGGAGTATTTTCACGTCAACGTTCATCAAGAATATTGGCCTGAAATTTTCTTTTTTTTTTTGTTGTATCTCTGCCAGGTTTTTGTATCAGGATAATGCTGGTCTTATAAACGGAGTTAGGGAGGAGTGCCTCTTTTTCTACTGACTGGAATAATTTCAGAAGGAATGGTACCAGCTCCTCTTTGTACCTCTGGTAGAATTTGGCTGTGAAGCCATCTGGCCCTGGGCTTTTTTTGGTTAAGGCTATTAATTACTGCCTCAGTTTCAGAACTTGTTATTGGTCTATTCAGGGATTCAACTTCTTCCTGGTTTAATCTTGGCAGGGTGTATGTGTCCAGGAATTTATCCATTTCTTCTAGATTTTCTAGTTTATTTATGTAGAGATGTTTATAGTATTCTCTGATGGTAGTTTGTATTTCTGTGGGATCAGTGATGATATCCCCTTTATCATTTTCTATTGTATCTATTTGATTTTTCTCTCTTTTCTTCTTTATTAGTCTGGCTAGTGGTTTATTTATTTTGTTGATCTTTTCAAAACACCAGCTCCTGGATTCATTGATTTTTTTGAAGGGTTTTTTGTCTCTATCATCTTCAGTTCTGCTCTGATCTTAGTTATTTCTTGTCTTCTGATAGCTTTTGAATTTGTTTGCTCTTGCTTCTCTCATTCTTTTAATTGTGATGTTAGGGTTTTGATTTTAGATCTTTCCTGCTGTCTCCTGTGGACATTTAGTGCTATAAATTTTCCTCTAAACACTGCTTTAGCTGTGTCCCAGAGATTCTGGTACATTGTGTCTTTGTTCTCATTGGTTTCAAAGAACTCATTTATTTCTGCATTAATTTCGTTATTGACCCAGTAGTCATTCAGAAGCAGGTTGTTCAGTTTCCATGTAGTTGTGTGGTTTTGAGTGAGTTTCTTAATCCTGAGTTCTAATTTGATTGCACTGTGGTCTGGGAGACTGTTTGTTATGGTTTCCATTCTTTTGCATTTGCTGAGGAATGCTTTACTTCCAATTATGTGGTTGATTTTAGAATAAGTATGATGTGGTGCTGAGAAGAATGTATATTCTGCTGATTTGCGGTGGAGAGTTCTGTAGATGTTTATTAGGTCTGCTTGGTCCACAGCTGAATTCAAGTCCTGAATATCCTTGTTAATTTTCTGTCTCGTTCATCTGTCTAATATTGACAGTGGGGTGTTAAAGTCTCCCACTATTATTGTGTGGGAGCCTAAGTCTCTTTGTAGGTCTCCAAGAGCTTGCTTTATGAATCCAGGTGCTCCTGTATTGGGTGCCTATATATTAAGGATAGTTAGCTCTTCTTGTTGCATTGATCACTTTACCATTATGTAATGCCCTTCTTTGTCTTTTTTGATCTTTGCTGGTTTAAAGCCTGTTTTATCAGAGACTAGGATTGCAGGCCCTGCTTTTTTTCCTTTCCATTTGCTTGGAAAATATTCCTCCATCCGTTTATTTTGAGGCAATATGTGTCTTTGTGTGTGAGATGGGTCTCCTGAATACAGCACACCAATGGGTCTCAACTCTTTATTCAATTTGCCAGTCTGTGTGTTTAATTGGGGCATTTAGCCCATTGACATTTAAGGTTAATATTGTTATGTGTGAATTTGATCCTGTCTTTATGATGCTAGCTGGTTATTTTGCCCATTAATTGATGCAGTTTCTTCATAGTTTCAATGGTCTTTAGAATTTGGTATGTTTGTGCAGTGACTGGTACCAGTTATTCCTTTCCATATTTAGTGCTTCCTTCAGGAGCTCTTGTAAGGCAGGCCTGGTGGTGACACAATCCCTCAGCATTTGCTTGTCTGTAAATTATTTTAATTCTCCTTCACTTATGAAGCTTAGTTTGGCTGGATATGAAATTCTGGGTTTAAAATTCTTTTCTCTAAGAATGTTGAATATTGGCCCCCACTCTCTTCTGGCTTGTAGGGTTTCTGCAGAGAGCTCCACTGTTAGTCTGATTGGCTTCCCTTTTGGGTAACCTGACCTTTCTCTCTTGTTGCCCTTAACATTTTTTCCTTCATTTCAACCTTGGTGAATCTGATGATTATGTGTCTTGGGGTTGCTCTTCTCGAGGAGTATCTTTGTAGTGTTCTCTGTATTTCCTGAATTTGAATTTTGGCCCATCTTTCTAGGTTGGGGAAGTTCTCCTGGATAATATCCTGCAGCGTGTTTTCCAACTTGGTTCCATTCTCCTCATCACTTTCAGGTACACCAGTCAAATGTAGGTTAGGTCTTTTCACATAGTCCCATATTTCTTGGAGGCTTTGTTTGCTCCTTTTCATTCATTTTTCTCTGATCTTGTCTTCACACTTTATTTCACTAAGTTGATCTTCAATCTCTGATATCCTTTCTTCTGCTTAATCAATTTGGCTATTGATACTTGTGTATGCTTCACGAAGTTCTCCTGCTGTGTTATTAAGGTCCATTAGGTCATTTATGTCCTTCTCTAAGCTGGTTATTCTAGATAGCAATTCCTCTAACCTTTTTCAAGGATCTTAGCTATCTTGTATTGGGTTAGAACATGCTCATTTAGCTCACAGGAGTTTATTATTACCCATATTCTGAAGACTACTTCTGTCAATTCATCAAACTCATTCTCCTTCCAGTTTTTTTCCTTTGCTGGCGAGGAGTTGTGACCCTTTGGAGGAGAAGACATTCTAGTTGTTTGAATTTTCAGCCTTTTTGCACTGGCTTTTCCTCATCTTCATGGATTTATCTACCTTTGGTGTTTGAAATTGGTGACCTTCAGAATGGGGTTTCTGTGTGGATGTCCTTTTGGTTCATGTTGATGCTATTTCTTTCTGTTTGTTAGTTTTCCTTGTAACAGTCAGCCCTCTCTACTGCAGGTCTGCTGGAGTTTTCTGGAGATCCACTCCAGACCAGTTTGCCTGGGTATCACCAGTGGAGGCTGCAGAACAGCAAAGATTGCTATCTGTTTCTTTTTCTGGAAGCTTTGTCCCAGAGGGGCACCCGCCAGATGCCAGCTGGAGCTCTCCTGTATGAGGTGTCTGTCGACTCCTGCCAAGAGGTGTGTCCCCGTCAGGAGACACGGGGGTCAGGGACCCACTTGAGGAGGCAGTCTGTCCCTTAGCAGAGCTTGAGTGCTCTCTTGATCTGCTGCTCTCTTCAGAGCTGGCAGGCAGGGAACGTTTAAGTCTGCTGAAGTGGTGCCCACAGACTCCCTTTCCCCCAGGTGCTCTGTCCCAGAGAGATGGGAGTTTTATCTATAAGCCCCCGACTGGGGTTGCTGCCTTTCTTTCAGAGATCTCCTGTCCAGAGAGGAGGAATCTAAAGAGGCAGTCTGGCTACAGTGGCTTTGCCAAGCTGCGGTGGGCTCCACCCAGTTTGAACTTCCCAGCGGCTTTGTTTACACTGTGAGGGGAAAACTGCCTACTCAAGCCTCAGTAATGGCAGACGCCCCTCCCACCACTAAGCTCTAGCATCCCAGGTTGACTTCAGACTTCTGTGCTGGCAGCGAGAATTTCAAGCCAGTGGATCTTAGCTTGCTGGGCTCTGTGTGGGTTGGATTCACTGAGCTAGACCACCTGGCTCCCTGGCTTCAGCCCTCTTTCCAGGGGAGTGAATGGTTCTGTCTCACTGGTGTTCCAGGTGCCACTGGGGTATGAAAAAAAACTCCTGTAGCTAGCTTGGTGTCTGCCCAAATGGCTGCCCAGTTTTGTGGTTGAAACCCAGGACCCTGGTGGTGTAGGCAACCAAGGGAATCTTCTGGTCTACGGGTTGCAAAGGCCATGGGAAAAGCGTAGTATCTGGGCTGGAATGCACCATTCCTCATGGCACAGTCATTCACGGCTTCCCTTGGCTAGGGGAGGGAGTTCCCCAACCCCTTGCACTTCCTGGGTGAGGTGATGCCCCACCCTTCTTTGACTCACTCTCCGTGGGCTGCACCCACTGTCTAACCAGTCCCAGTGAGATAAGCTGAGTACCTCAGTAGAAATGCAGAAATCACTCGCCTTCTGTGTTGATCTAGCTGGGAGCTGCAGACTAGAGCTGTTTCTATTTGGCCATCTTGCCAGCCACCCCCAGTTGAGAGCTTTGATCATGAAGGGATGTTGAATTTTGTCAAATGCTTTTTCTGCATCCATTGAGATGATCATACTGTTTTTGTCCTTCATACTGTTGATGAGATATACAATGTTTATTGATTTTCAGATGTTGAAACATTTTTGCATTTCTGGGATAAATCTCACTTGATCATGGTGCATTTTTTTTTTTGTTGTGCTGTTTAATTTGGTTTGCTAGTTTTGTTAAGAAATTTTGTGTTTTTGTATGTTTCATTGGATATAGGTATAGCCATTCCTCCTCACTTTTGTTTTCTGTTTGCATGAAATATCTTTTCCCGTCATTTTATTTTCAGTTTATATGTGTCTAGAGGTAAGAAGAATTTCTTGTAGGAAGGATATACTTGAATCATGCTTTTTAAAAAATTCCATTCAGCTAGTTTATGTATTTTAAATGGAAAGATTAATTTGTTTACATTCAAGGTTATTATTGATATATTGACGGGTTATTCTTGTCATTTTATTAATTGATTTCTGATTGTTCTGCATATCATTTGTTTGTTTCTTTCTTATTTTTTACTTTTGCAGTTTTGTGGTATTCTGTAATGGTAACATTTGAGTTTTTTCTCTTCCTTTTTTGTGTTTGTTCTGTTATATGCTTTTTAACTTTTGTGTTTTCATGATGGTAGTCATTGTTGTTTTGCTTCTGAGTATAGGACTCCCTTAAGCATTTCTTGAAGTATCAGTCTAGCAGTGATGAATTTCCTCAGCTTTTGCTTGTCTGGGAAAGACTTCATTCCTCTTCATAACTGAAGAATAATTTTGCTGTGTATAGTCTCCTTGGCTTACAGTTTTTTTTTTCTATTTGTACTTTGAATATATCATCCCATTCTCCCTTGACCTGAAGATTTCTGCTGAGAAATCCACTGTTATTTCTTTGTAAGTGACTAGATCCTTTTCCTGTTGCTGTTGTTAGAATTCACCCTTTGTCTTAGACTTCTAACAGTTTAACTATAATGTGCTGTTGAGAAGACTTTTGTGAATTTTATTTATTCATGAATCTTTGAGCCTCTTGTATCTGGATGTCTAAATCTTTCTCAAGGGGGAAATATTTATCTACTGTTTCATTAATAGGATTTCTTTTTTTTTAAATTATACTTTAAGTTCTATGGTACATGTGCACAACATGCAGGTTTGTTACATATGTATACATGTGCCATGTTAGTGTGCTGCACCCATTAATGCGTCATTTACATTAGGTATATCTCCTAACGCTCTCCCTCCACCCTCCCCTCACCCCATGACAGGCCCCGGTGTATGATGATCCCCTTCCAGTGTCCAAGTGTTCTCATTGTTCGATTCCCACCTGTGAGTGAGAACATGTGCTGTTTTGTTTTTTGTCCTTGCAATAGTTTGCTGAGAATGATGGTTTCCAGCTTCATCCATGTCCCTACAAGGGACATGAACTCATCCTTTTTTATGGCTGCATAGTATTCCATGGTGTATATGTGTGACATTTTCTTAATCCAGTCTATCATTGATGGACATTTGGGTTGGTTCCAAGTCTTTGCTACTGTGAATAGTGCTGCTATAAACATACGTGTGCATGTGTCTTTATAGCAGCATGATTTATAATCCTTTGGGTATATACCCAGTAATGGGATGGCTGGGTCAAATGGTATTTCTTGTTCTAGATCCTTGAGGAATCACCACACTGTCTTCCACAATGGTTGAACTAGTTTACAGCCCCACCAACAGTGTAAAAGTGTTCCTATTTCTCCACATCCTCTCCAGCACCTGTTGTTTCCTGACTTTATAATGATTACCATTCTAACTGCTGTGAGATGGTATCTCATTGTGGTTTTGATTTGCATTTCTCTGATGGCCAGTGATGATGAGCATTTTTTCATGTGTCTTTTGGCTGCATAAATGTCTTCTTTTGAGAAGTGTCTATTCATATTCTTTGCCCACTTTTTGATGGCGTTGGTTTTCACTTGTAAATTTGTTTGAGTTCTTTGTAGATTTTGGATATTAGCTCTTTGTCAGATGAGTAGATTGCAAAAATTTTCTCCCATTCTGTAGGTTGCCTGTTCACTCTGATGGTAGTTTCTTTTGCTGTGCAGAAGCTCTTTAGTTTAATTAGATCCCATTTGTCAATTTTGGCTTTTGTTGCCATTGCTTTTGGTGTTTTAGACATGAAGTCCTTGCCCATGCCTATGTCTTGAATGGTATTGCCTAGATTTTCTTCTAGGGTTTTTATGGTTTTAGGTCTAACATTTAAGTCTTTAATCCATCTTGAATTAATTTTTGTATAAGGTGTAAGGAAGGGATCCAGTTTCAGCTTTCTACATATGGATAGCCAGTTTTCCCAGCACCATTTATTAAATAGGGAATCCTTTCCCCATTGCTTGTTTTTGTCAGGTTTGTCAAAGATCAGATGGTTGTAGATGTGTGTTATTATTTCTGAGGGCTCTGTTCTGTTCCATTGGTCTATATCTCTGTTTTGGTACCAGTACCATGCTGTTTTGGTTACTGTAACCTTGTAGTATAGTTTGAAGTCAGGTAGCATGATGCCTCCAGCTTTGTTCTTTTGGCTTAGGATTGACTTGGCAATGAGGGCTCTTTTTTGGTTCCATATGAACTTTAAATTAGTTTTTTCCAATTCTTTGAAGAAAGTCATTGGTAGCTTGATGGGGATGGCATTGAATCTATAAATTACCTTGGGCAGTATGACCATTTCCATGATATTGATTCTTCCTATCCATGAGCATGGAATGTCCTTCCATTTGTTTGTGTCCTCTTTTATTTCATTGAGCAGTGGTTTGTTGTTCTCCTTGAATAGGTCCTTCACACCCCTTGTAAGTTGGATTCCTAGGTATTTTATTCTCTTTGAAGCAATTGTGAATGGGAGTTCACTCATGATTTGGTTCTCTGTTTGTCTGTTCTTGGTGTATAAGAATGCTTGTGATTTTTGTACATTGATTTTGTATCCTGAGACTTTGCTGAAGTTGCTTATCAGCTTAAGGAGATTTTGGGCTGAGATGATGGGGATGCTTCTCTGCAAAGGATTTTATTTCTGCTTCACTTATGAAGCTTAGTTTGGCTGGATATGAAATTCTGGGTTGAAAATTCTTTTCTTTAAGAGTGTTGAATATTGGCCCCCACTCTCTTCTGGCTGGTGGAGTTTCTGCTGAGAGATCCGCTGTTAGTCTGATGGGCTTCCCTTTGTGGGTAACCCACCTTTCTCTCTGGCTACCCTTAACATTTTTTCCTTCATTTCAACTTTAGTGAATCTATCTTGGAGTTGCTCTTCTTGAGGAGTATCTTTGTGGCATTCACTATATTTCCTGAATTTGAATGTTGGCCTGTCTTGCTAGGTTGGTGAAGTTCTCCTGGATAATATCCTGCAGAGTGTTTTCCAACTTTGTTTCATTCTCTCCATCACTTTCAGGTACACCAATCAGATGTAGATTTGGTCTTTTCACATAGTCCCATATTTCTTGGAGGCTTTGTTTGTTTCTTTTTACTTTTTTTTCTCTAAACTTCTCTTCTCGCTTCACTTCATTCATTTGATCTTCAATCACTGATACCCTTTCTTCCAGTTGATCGAATTGGCTACTGAAGCTTGTGCATTCATCACGTAGTTCTCATGCCATGGTTTTCAGCTCCATCAGATCATTTAAGGACTCCTCTACACTGGTTATTCTGGTTAGCCATTTGTCTAATCTTTTTTCAAGGTTTTTAGCTTCTTTGCGATTGGTTCGAACTTCCTCCCTTAGCTCAGAGAAGTTTGATTGTCTGAAGCCTTTTTCTCCTAACTCGTCAAAGTCATTCTCCATTCAGCTTGTTCCATTGCTGGCAAGGAGCTGCATTCCTTTGGAGGAGGAGAGGCACTCTGGTTTTTAGAATTTTCAGCTTTTCTGCTCTGTTTTTTCTCCATCTTTGTGGTTTTATCTACCTTTGGTCTTTGATGATGGTGACGTACATATGGGGTTTTGGTGTGGATGTCCTTTCTGTTTGTTAGTTTTCCTTCCAACAGTCAGGACCCTCAGCTGCAGGTCTGTTGGAGTTTGCTGGAGGTCCACTCCAGACCCTGTTTGTCTGGGTATCAGCAGCGGAGGCTGCAGAACAGCGAATATTGTTGAACAGCAAATGTTGCTGCCTGATCATTCCCTGGAAGCTTCGTCTCAGAGGGGTACCCGGCTGTGTGAGGTGTCAGTCTGCTCCTATTGGGGGGTATCTCCCAGTTAGACTACTCGGGGTTCAGGGACCCACTTGAGGAGGCAGTCTATCCGTTCTCAGATCTCAAACTCTGTGCTGGGAGAACTACTACTCTCTTCAAAGCTTTCAGACAGGGACATTTAAGTCTGCAGAGGTTTCTGCTGCCTATGTTTGGCTATGCCCTGCGCTCAGAGGTGAAGTCTACAGAGGCAGGCAGGCCTCCTTGAGCTGCAGTGGGCTCCACCCAGTTTGAGCTTCCAGGCCTCTTTGTTTACTTACTTAAGCCTCAGCAATGGTGGGTGCCCCTTCCTAGCCTTGCTGCCACCTTGCAGTTTGATCTCAGACTGCTGGGCTAGCAATGAGTGAGGCTCCATGGGCGTGGGATGCCCCCAGCCAGGCATGGGATATATGGGGTGTGCCGTTTGCTAAGACCATTGGAAAAGTGCAGTATTAGGGTAGGAGTGACCCGATTTTCCAGGTGCCGTCTGTCACAGCTTCCCTTGGCTAGGAAAGGGAGTTCCCTGATCCCTTGCACTTCCCAGGTGAGGCAATGCCTCTCCCTGCTTCGGCTCATGCTCGTTGGGCTGCAACCAAAGTCTGACAAGCCCCAATGAGATGAACCCAGTACCTCAGTTGGAAATGCAGAAATCACCCATCTTCTGCATTGCTCATTCTGGGAGCTGTAGACTGGAGCTGTTCCTATTCAGCCATCTTGGAACCGCCCCCTCATTAATAGGCTTTCTAACCTTTTCATTTTCTCTTTGCCTTCTAGGACACTGAAAATTTAGAAATTTGATTGCTTTATGGCATTCCATATGTCACAAAGACTTCACTCATTCTTTTAAAATTCAATTTCCTTTATTTTGTCTGGCTGGGTTATTTCAAAAGACCTGTATTCAAATTCTGAGATTTTTTTTCTTCCTGTTTGAGCTAGTCTATTGTTGTAGCTTTCAAATATGTTTTGTATTTCTTTCAAGGAATTCTTCACTTCCAGAATTTCTGTTTGGTTTTTTTTCATGAGATCTGTCTCTTTAGTCACTTTCTCATTTCTATCCTGAATTGTTTCAGTTATTTCTTTATTATTTTTCAGAATTCTCTTGTATCTCTCTGAATTTCTTTAGTATCAATATTTTGGATTCTTTTTCAGGGATTTCATAAATGTGTTTTTGATTGGGATTTGTTCTTAAACAATATTGTGTTCTTTTGGAGGTTTCACATTTTTAAAAATGTTTCCTGTGTTCTTACATTAATATCTGTGTATCTGGTGTAATAGTTCTTTCTTTCCATTTTTGGAATATGCTGTACTAAGGGAGGACGTTTTCCTGAGATAAATCTGTGGTGTTGGTTGGTTAGGACCCTTTGTCTTTGATTCTGGGTGCATTCTGTAGTGCAGTCTCTGTATGATTTATTTGGCTATAAAAACTGTCAGTTGGATCTGTGATTGCTTCTGTGGCTTAGGGTACAGTTGTTAGTAGAGATAGTGGTGAAGTTTTGCTGGGAACTGATATGCCAGCTGGGCCAGTATTCAGACCCTAGTGAGGTTGCAGCTGTAGGCTGTGCATGCCTGTCTTGGGCTCCAGGGCAATGTATGTTGGCTCTAATGTTAGTGAGTCTAGGCAGATCAATTTTAGGGCCTCCAGGTGGCTTGCTTGGGGCTGGGAATGGCAATGATTGGTTTGGCCAATGGGTGGGTTCTCAAGCCCCTGGGCAGGAAGCGTGGCATGGCCTACGGCATTAGAAGTAGTGGGACAACATTCTGGGATCCAAGTTGTCCATACCATTGTTGACAGTGGCTGTGATGGGTTGGGCAGGCTGGTCTCGAGACTTACAGGTGGTACATGTTGGTGGTTGTCAGTTGTGATGGTAGTAGCAGGTTCAGTGAACCATAGGCAGGTACCTGGAGGGTGTATGCTTTGCTTTCGCATTGGTCCTACAGCTGCTTGCAGCAGTGGCAATTGTGGGCTTTGCAATTTGTCTTCAGTGTACATGAAAATGTGCAGCTGCCTACAGGGTAGGACGCATTCTGGTGGAGACTAGCCGCTCAAATTGGCACCATGCTGCAGCTTAGGAGTTATGGGATTTAGAAAGAACTCTCTCTCTGGAGCAATGCCTTTGTGTGGTTTCCAGACAGCTACCTATGTTTGTCTTGTGGCCCATGAAGATTGAGGGACTCTCCTTGGCTTAGATTGTAGGCATCCAGGTGGGAACGTGGACAACTGGGATTCCCTCAGTTACCCTTTCCCTGCATTAGAAAGTCTCTCTAGACTCTAATTCATCCTTGATGAACAGGCTGCCTCGATTTCCTCTCCTTCCTTGCTTTCAGTGCCTCCCATCACTTCTCGGTTGAATTTTAGTGTTCTCACTTAGATGATCTGTTAATTCATGTGATTATCTACTCACAATTTGGTTCCTCTCCATGGAAGAGGCATGTGCCAGATGCATCTAGTGAGCCATCTTGAAGTTCCTCCAGTTGCTTTTCATTTCTTTATAAATAATTTCTTCATGCATTTAGCAATATCAGAATTCGAGCATTTAACTTGGAGGCTTCTTACTTTCTGGGGTATCTGTGTTCCTATCAAAGGCTAACTACTCATCCTCACTGCCTGCTTATATCCCCACCTACTTGAGTGTTCTAAATATGTTAATTTTTTTCCCTGAAATGCTTTAGTGTAAACCGTATAATGTCATGTTTGTACATGTTCTTTCTTGATACTCATTTTATCAGATAAATTTCTCAATGAATTTTAAACACTTAAAGGTCAAAGAGCTGCCTGTTTCCTAATTTCCTACCCTTTCTTTATTCCCAAACCCAGTGCTGCAAGTGAGACAAATGCCTAATAAATACTTGCAGGAAAACAGAAATGAAATCTATTTCTAATAATTATCAGCTTGTATTTTGTTGATTTGTACCTTTTAAAGATTTGTTATTGCAAAAGTAACATATACATATGTTCAAAAGGCTAATCAGTACAAAAAGAGATCTATCTGTGGCAAATAGATCTCCCCCATGCCCAACCTTCTGACCCTCTTCCCAGAAGCATTCCCAGCTCTATTTCCTGTACAGCACTCTTAGGGATCACCTAGTTCATTCATCTCAGCCTGCAGTGTTCTAGGTTGGCAGTCAGCCCTCTTTTCCTTCAGTTGGGGCATGTGTACATACCAGAGAAAGTTGTCTCTGAGTTGAGAGACTGGCTTGTTTTTTAGCGCTGCAAAATAATTAAAAATGAATGGATACGGTTGAATTGTAGAAAGCGTATTTATTATTTCCAGTAGTTATAAAAAAATCCTTGAAATTAAAAATCATACTTTGAACAGGTCGATTAGTCAGATTTAATTTTTCTTTCACTCTCTTATATTGGTGTAAATATTTTCATCTGTTATGCATAAACAAAAAGTGTATTAAACTGTCAAACATAAATGATTTCGTTTTGGCCACCATGGCTTGAGGGATTTATTTCGAGTCTGTTGTGCTACTATTTGCCCCTAGGATGTATAATCTATATTTTAGGGGAATGTGGCTTACTGTAAGACACCTGTATTATTTATGTGTGATTAATATTTGCGTTATGGTGAATGAGGTTTTTTGGCCTTACTTTTCTCTTATAGTGACTTAATCATTTCTCACAAGAATGTAGTCATTGTAATAAAACATTCCACGTACTAGTTTGTTTTTCAGCAGTGACAAATGCAATTGTAGTAAAATGTGAATTTTCAGTTATTAAATATGGCATCATGAATGTAATTTACTGAGCTACATCTGCAAGATACTGCTATATGGCACTGCTGAAGCTAAAACCAGGCCAGTCCTTATTGTATAAATTTAAATATAAACATTGGTGAACAGAATCTTTAAATCACAATGCTTAGGCCTCCATACCTAATTTTGTGTTTCTGGATATAAATCTGTAAACCATAAAAACAGTTGGTTATATGGATGCCTATTAAGAAGGGTTCATTGTAGTTTGCAAATTTGCAACAAATTATGAAGATCTTTGATCACTTCCTGACAGATAATATCATGCGCCAAATTAGGACATATGTCAAAGTTCCATTCTGTGGGTCATAAGACATGAAATTTTTTTACAACATTCTTTTAGAAAAAGCACTTATGTTGGAAGAATGAGAAATTGTAAGAGTTCCAAAATCTAGAAGGCTAAAGTTCAGTTAGATATTAATGTTACCTGCCAGAATAATCTTCTTTCACAATGGTGACAGTGAAACATATTGCTTTTAGCAATTATAATACAGACTTGGCATCATATGGATTATTGAATATAAAAGAAATTAATCTTAAAATGGCCACAATAAGTCTTTTAATTGAGTTTTGGTGAGCTTTGCCAAGTGGTAAGAAAGAAGATATAAACATAAAAGATTATACATACACACACTCATGCACACACATGGGTGTGTGTGTGTGGTGTGTGTGTGTGTAGCTGGACAACCTTCCTTTGTGAATACCTGAAAGTAGTAACTTTTTTGTCACTTAATGATATTACTTTAAATTTGAAAAGATGCAAATAACTCTGGAATTTGAAACCTTTTTTTTCTTTATACCTTGTCTATTATTAGTTATAGCCCAAGTTTTATACTGTAATCTTGCAAGTGATAAATATTTTGGAAATAGAACCCTCTGTCAGTATTTCAGAGAAGGGATTAGATTATGTGTCTATTAAAGGTGTGATAGAAGAATCATGTATGTAAATACTGGAATTGTGATATATTAAAAACCTTTCAGGTATATATTAAAATTGTGAAAGTGCTCAAACTTACCGAGTTTCCAGAAGAAGCCATCAAGAGTATTAAAGAATGATGTTGATAATTATACTAAATTCTAAACCAGGATATGGGGGACAAGGGCTTTAAAACTTCAGAAACATCAATTAAAGCCCAAGTTGTGTGCAATAAGCATCAAAAATTGATAAAAACTCAAATTTAGGGTTTTAGATTTAGTGTTTAAATCAATCAACTGCAAACAAGATTTAATTAAAGAATATTATTTCAAAGTGTAATTACCTACTGGGATTAGAATGAACCTCTATTGCCCATAATGTTCTCCTACTGTGATCCCACACTGAAAAATGTTGAGTTTTAGATTAATATGCATCTTGTAAGTACAAGTCTTAATCTCAATCTTAAAGGACATTTAAAACACACTTGGAACCTTCTATGCAATCAAGCCCAGTGTGACTACTCTGTCCACCATGCTAAATTTGTGATTACATTTTTTATGTGCATGATTTAAATCGCTTTAGCAGCAGTCCAGGGAGCATTTTACCCTGCATATTAATTACACAAAGGCTTTGTCATGTGAGGGTCTCAGTGGTCATGGTCTGTAATCCAGCTCATTTGAACTGTGAGTACAGTTTTTGAGCATGCTGTGCACATCAAGCCCAGCTTTAAAGCTAGAATAGGCTGAGATGGTTAACAGGTATGGTTCCTGCTTAAGGAATGAATGCCATTTATTTAGTGACATCTGCAAACTAATTGCTTAAAAATCTGAAAGTGAATATGTGTGCTCAGAAGTCTGTTATTAATACATAAAGAACAAGATTCCAGGCCACAGCATTCCAGTTCCTATTGTCTCAAGCTAGCAGTATCTATATAATCATATGATTCCATCATAAAATTCATGTTACGCAAAAGAGATTTTTTTTTCTTTTTATGCTTCAATAATGTTATCATCAGTCCATTTAAATGTTTGGAACCATTTTTAAACTTGTGATTTAAAGAGGAATTAAATATATTTTAAATATATATTTATATATGTTTTGCAATACCAAGAAGCAGAAAGTAAAGTGAAAGATCATTAAAAACCCTAGCATCTCTATTGAAGAATTTTCAAATATTCAGTACTTAAAATATGTCGCTTTATTATAACAGTTTGGCATTGAAATTATCAGAAAATTAATGTAGTCTTTGTACATGCATTTTAGTGGGCTAGTCATATAATATTAGTCTATCATATACTATTAAAACAAAAATGGAAGTTCATATCATATATGACATTGGAAGCTTGATGTCAATGGAAGCCTACAGTGGTTCCTAAGCATGAGGGAAATTCAGAATTATTTCAGTAAATGCTATATAGAGACACCCCAGACCCATGCCAGAATTTTAAAATCAAAGCCAGTAAAAGAAGGATATGGTCGTGTGCATGTGTATTCTGAGAAAAGACACTGAAAATCCAGAATCACTAATGGTTAGCTGAGCAATTTAATAGAAAATAACTCTGCTTTAATTTATGTCCAAAGAAATATAATGACAGAAATATAGAAAAGACACACAATAAAAGAATGGTAAATGCTTCAAGATTCACTTTTCTGGGTAACTCCATTGAATCCCTGCCAGCAAATGATGTAGCAAGCAATCTTTTAATTGACACATATGACTATATCATCACACTTTACTGGAAGAGCAAAGAAAGTATAATATTTTTAAATGCCAAATTATGTCTTAAAAACATAAAATGGACAGTCTAAATGTGAGCTACTGAAATACTTTATAAAACCTAAGTGGAAATAAAATAGGAATTGATTCTTCTTTTGTTAAACTTAAAAAATATGTGGCATATCTATCATGCCTACCAATATTTGAGGGAGAAATTAATCATCTCTCAGAACGAATGACCATCTCTGTTATTAAAAATATGTGTTCAATTATTTATGTATAACTTTTCTTATTCAAAGCAATTTACCTTTTACTTCTTAATCTTAAAATCCAGCTAGCAACTAAACTATTTGAAATTCTTCCTGAGACTCCTGGAAAAGTTCTACTCATTCAATATTCAATACAGATGTTTTTTAAAAAGGATGTTCCATGCATTAGGCACTGTAAATGGTGCTGAGGAGAGAGAGATAGCTAAACTATAGACTCTGGCTTAAGGAACTTACAATCTTTAGGAAAGAAATATGACAAAACAAAAGATTAAAATATAGTATAACAAGAAATGCATAGAAATAAATAACTTTATTTTTCTAAGCTTGTCTTCCATTGTCAGTTTTATTTTTCATTATATAATAAATGTTTTGGAAATAAATTATTTTCCATATACTTTGAAATAATTATTTGATAATGAAAATAGAAATTTATTATTAGCATTTACAAGAATATGTACCCTATAGACTTATTTTCATTTAATCAGAGTAAAATTTATGATTTGAATAAGGTAGACCTGCCCTGCAGGTAGGGAATTTTAACATGAGTTTTTGGTGCAGGAAGAATTATGTGTAGGTTATAATAAGCAAAGGGTATGTAAAGTTACAGATATTTTTGTGAAATTGGCTCAAATGTATCCTATGCATTGAGTTGCATATTTAAAGGATTTTTTGGTGTGGTATTTGAAGAGTCAAATGCTACGTTGACTTACACTTATGCATCATTGTATTATAAAAAGATTCAAGAGAAATTTGGCTATGCCATTTAGCAGGTCTGACAGCCTTTGTAGGAGTGTGAACACTTAAGAGGCCATGTAAAAATGCAGTGTCTATGTCTGAACATTTGTGCTTTCGTACTGTTGGTTTGGGTTACAAAAGATTGTGATGGTTTTTAAAGGAACAGCATCAGTTCTATCAACTCTAAATATTTTAATATTAATTTCCACTTTGGTAAAGCAGAATGAAGATTTAAGATAGATATCCAACTAATTTGAATTATATAGGCAGCCTTTACAATTACCTGAATATCTCAGTAAAAAAAGAATTATCAGTAGGATGTGACTTACTTCTGTTCTTCATTTCTGTTTGGCCACATGGATGCCAAAAATTATGAATATTTGGAAACAGCCTTGGCAATTGTGTTTTTCACTTTTCTTAGGGATGGCTGGCATCATATAGTCAAAGACCTCATTGAATTTTGTAGCCTTTACAATGATTTTCAAAAAAAGAAAACCATTTTATACGAGGCATATTTTAAGAGTTTGTTACTTAAATCAGTTTGACGACTAAAGCCTGACGTCATTCAATTTAAATTTTATCAAAGAATCAGGGCTCTTTCTTAAAATAATCTGTCTTCTAGTGACTGCTTAACACTATTCATGAAACAGTGTAATTCTTTCCAGAGAAATCACTGGAAATTAAGCTTTTGTAATCATTTATTTAAATTTCCCAGTTCTTTAAGCAACAGTTTTCCTCCCTTAAAACTGGTCCAAAATTCTGGTAATTGGAAGTTAATATGCCCTTTCAGGGTTGATGACTTTTCTTTAATGTTCTTTCTTCTGTTTACTTCATAGAGTTGTACATTAATAAAAATCCATAGATTAAAGCCATGGAGTTATTTTTCTAATGAAAAGGCTCCCTAAGTATCTGGCATTTTATATCAAATTTTAATGTTTCCAATTTTGAAATCTCAGCAAAAAACTGTTGATGTGGGTCCCCTTTGATAAATTATAAAGGTAAACTTTAATGAACATTGAATAGGATCACCTTTGCTACTTGGGGTAATAGAATAAAATAAAACAAGCAAACACATTTTTCTTACTGCCACATGCCTCTCCTTAATAATAACTTTTGTCTCTTCCACAGGAATAGATGCTGTGTAAGTCTCATTAAATTACCTGACTGATGGAATAAATACACAGCCTATAGCTCGGCAGTCCATAGTAAACTGAACAAGGGTCTTGATATCTCAGAGTTCTGCTTATTTACACATGCCTTGGACTCTTCTCACAGATATGTAAATTATTCTGGTTAAAACTAAATGCTAAAGTCTACACCATTAGTCTTCCACTTCATGATCTCCACATGGGGCTGTTAGAGGGATAATGTACCATACAATACACGGTTTACTTTTAATTAATAGAAAAAAATGTGAAATGAATATTAAATGTAGCTTAATGTGAAAGAAAGCTCAAAGCAGTTTGGTTGTTATTTATTTATTTTAAAAATATTCAGTCCCGCTTCATGATTAGAAAATAAGGAATGCATTACCGGACTGGAAGCCTTGCTGGAGACTTGGAAGAAAAAAAGAGCTTGGAGAGGCTTTAACAAACCAGCTAATGGTACTGGGCCTGACACAAAGAAGGGATGCTTTAGGGAGCGGTCCAAGGAGCTCTGCTCTGTGCCTATTGAATCCCAGCAGAGCTTTTCTCTATATTCCCTGCTGAGATTGTCCCCTGCTCTATACCATACGAATTGAAGGATCTGGTATTAAATCGTAGAGTAAAAAAGCTCATCAAATAGAGCATTTAATTAAAACACAAGATCTGTTTGTCTGTGTTATAATTCAATGTGTCAAAATTAATGCCTCTGTTTTTAATAAATAGAATTACCAATTCGCAAACAGTTTATCACACTGTTCCCAACCACAGAATGGAATTTTAATCATATAACATTATTTATGGCAATGAAATGATCGTGTTTCATAATGTTTGCCAACAGCACAAGTTCGGGTTTAGAAAGAAAAGCTCTATTAAATAATCACTTCCTTCGGTGGATTCCCTTTTGTCTCATTTGGCTCACCTAGGATAAGGTAAAGACCTTGGGAAAAGACAAAGAGCATGAACAATTCTGGCTAGGCTTTAGGAGATAACAAAGTCCTCACCGAAAGCACTTATTTGCAAGATTAAAGGGTTTGAAGTAAAGCCTGAAATTAGTAACTTTTCATCTCTTTTTACCCAGACAGCCAGTGTTTTGTAATAAAATGAAGACCTTGCACTTTCAAGCCTTCGTGCCAGACAGACTGTGAAACTGAATGCTACTCAATTTTAAATTATTCATACATTCTTAATGTGATGTTATCCTTATAAATGATAGTAATGGTACCGTTTAAAACCTAGAAACCAGCAGGCACCTGCCAGTGAAACGGGTTCATTTAAAGCATAGTCATTGAATCCTTAATATGAGCGGATAGTCCAGAAGACTCAGCTAGAGGAAAGTCAGTAAGACATTTGATTTTACAGTTAGGAATTAGGTAGCTTGACATGATTAGCAGAAGGGAAGTGAAATGCCAGTGCTTAAATTACAGAGAATTTAGAGACCATTTGGAGAAATCACCCTGGGCTTAGACAGTACTTGTAGAAAATTCTACTAACTCTCTTTATAAGAGCATTAGCTACAAATAATTGTTTTCATATTACTTAGAAGAGATCAAAATATACCATGAGGAAAAAAGACATGTGAAATCGTGAATACATTCACTTGCTCACTTCAAAAAATATAAAAGTTTGTGTATATGTCTAAGTGCATCTGTGTGTGAATTTGAGTGCTTAAAAAAGTTTGTGAGAAAGATCCATGTAACAATCCAAATAGCTCTTTTCTGAGTATTAAGATAACTGAGTTGAGTCTATAAAAACTAAGGTCTTTACAAGACATACCATACCAGTCATTTTGCTTTCTCCAACATTAAAAAAAAATGATGTTGCTTTGAATTCATTTTCAGAATCCTTTTAGTGATATCAACACTTGTCATGGTGTTGGGAGAAGAAATGTCTCTCTGAAATGTGGCCATATTCTTTTGGAACATACTTGTTAAAAAAAAAGCAACTTTTTGAGGTTGTGTCATTTTTAGATGGACATTTTTACATACATCAATTTTTGTAACCTTTTGAACATTTTTTCTTTCTTTCCTGTTTGTAATTTCACATTAAGAGTCTTTTTTTGAAAAGGAATTTAGTTGTTAAATACTTTATTCAGCTATCAGTTTTCACATGTTCTAAATAAGTAAGGAAATTAATAACAGATTTCTGTTCATCCAACTTTGGGTTCAAGACACAAGTGTCTCCAGGACTCTAATGATACTGCTTTAGGTGTCATTAAATAATTCTGGCCTGCATATTATTAAAGCTTACAAGAGCTGGTGTTAGTGAATCTCATTTGAACTCCTTGAAATCTGTTATTTATACCTGAAGCCTTTTCTTGTATCCATTAAGAAAAGGTACTCGCATGTCTAGAAGTCTCAAAGTTGATTAATATGAGATTTTAACACTCCTTTCCACAAAACCCCAACCCAAAGGGTGTTTGCTCTTGTTAATTGTTTACTTGATTGCTTGTGTCTGTCCTGTGGCCTCAGTGAAATGAACTCCTTTTTCCACATGCATGTGTACTGAAAAATAATATTTACTTTTAATTAGGATAATGAATACAATGGTCAGATAGGAAGCCTAATAATATTACACTACTAAAATAAGGTGTCTCAAAATTGAAATGTATCCTTTCCTTAAAATTTGAGATTTTAGAGTTTTAGAAGACACAGTTTAATGTTTCAAGCATAGTTGCTTGATATAGATTGTTTGGGTAAAATGCAGGATTTGATGCCTCCATACCACCTGTGTGTCCTTGGGCTCAACAGGGACACATATACAATCACAGCATTGAGATAGGTGCTTGACTTCTGTTAGCTGTTCAACAGCTATGGACTATCTGGAAGGTCAGTTTTAGTGGGGAACCAGCTTTGTACATTTTATAATGTACATATACATTCTGTATAGTCTTACTAGCAAATACTTGGGTCTTTAGCGTATTGAATAAGCAGAATGTCACAAAATCAATTTTATTTAGTTGTCTCACTGGTCTTTTAAATCATTTGAGAGGATAATCCTCACCTTGATTCTTGATGGTGCTTCCATCAGACCTCATGACTTCCTCTGATCTTGAAGCACACAAAAATGTTCTCTATCATTTTTCTAAGCTCAATTCACTACATTGAAAAGGTCCAGTCCCCAAAATTTATCAAAATATTCAACTTCATTTAATATTATATCTTTTTCCAACCTCTATTTTATCATGCTGACAAGCATGGGCGCTTGTGGTGGGGAGGGCATGGCAGTCTCCTTTTTTTTTTTGCCACCGAACAGTGGCCTCACTCCTCAAGGGTGCCAATCGAGGTTTTAAGTTCTGTCAGGCTCAAGAGGTACTGGCTGGAAGAAAGAGTAGAGGGATAAGATAATTCACCACATGATACTTTTTCTTATTCATATCCTTCTCCCAAATAGCCTCATTTTTATATTTAACTTATTTTGTTCCTTAAGAACTAATGAATTCAGTGTCACCTGGTAAATGTTTATTAATAAATTACACGAAGTGCCAATCAATGGACAGCTAATTCTCACTGCATAATGACAAATACTGCATGATCTTACTTATATGTGGGATCTAAAAAAGTCAAACTTACAGAAGCAGAGACTGGAATGGTGGTTACCAGGGGCAAGAGGAAATAGGAGATTGAAGAGATGTTGGTGAAAGGACACATAGCCTCTGTTCGGAAGAGCAAGCTCAGGAAATGTATTGCACAGCATGGTGATTATAGTTAATAACAATGCATTGTATACTTGAAAATTGCTAAGAGACAGTAGATTTCAAATATTTTCACTAGAATAAAAGTAAGTATGTGAGGTAGTGAATATGTTAATTAGCTTGATTTAGTTATTCCACGATGCAGACATATATCAAAATATTATATACACCATAAATATATACAATTTTTATTTGTAAATTAAAAATAAAAATAAAAGTTCTAAAAAAAGAAAAAGACTTGATTTCTATCCCTGAACATACAAATCTTTGTCACATTTTTGGTTCATGAAACAATTCTGACACCTCCCTAACATTTGGAATTATTCTCTCATAAAAAGTTCAAGTATTTTATTCTCTTAATTTTGATAGTAAAAATTTCCCATTAAACAAGTCTTCTTGGGATAAGAAATATATTTCTTTTGGATAGTTTTGATGCCAGCTTAAAATTTTAAGTTATTTAATATGTAATCATATTATTTATAAAAAATGTAATAGAATATAATTAGTCGAGTATGGTGGTGCCCACCTGTAATCCCAGCTACTTGGGAGCCTGAGGCAGGAGAATCACTTGAACCTTGGAGGCAAAGGTTCCACGGAGCCAAGGTCACTCCACTGCACTCCAGCCTAGGCAACAGAGGAAGACTTTGTCACACACACAAAAAGTAACAGACTATAGAAAATTTGAAAAATAGTTCACAACACAGTTTCTCACAAAGGAATGGAAAATATTTTAATTTGATTGCTAAATTTAACATGTTTGTAATGACTCTAGCACAGAGGGTTGAGAAAGATTCTTTGGCCACAGTACCTGTAATTGATTGATAATGTCTGCTGTGATACACGAAGGAGTGCCATATATATGCCCTCCACATCCTAACATTACCACTAACCACATGGTAAGAATTTCTTTCCAGTTATTTTTTTCTATGTATATTATTTACGTTTTTATGATTATTGTGCTGAACAGCAATTCTAAATACATATATGTGCATGGCTCATGAGCCTCATTTCTGCTTCTGAATTTATTGAAATGACTAAACTTTTATGAATTAGTCATTAGTATACAAGATGGGCAGGAAGATTCAATCACTTTAAAATTCCATGTAGAGGAAAATACACATAAGCAAGAGTGCTACTTATATATTAACTCTATTAGGAAGTATGTATTATATTAAAGATAATTATTTTATTAATTTAAAATATTTGATTTGAAATTCTGGATTAAAAATTAGTATTTTACCTTTCTTAACATTTTAACCATTGGAAGAAATTTTGATAAGTTCTGGGCAGAATATTTTCCATTCTGTCATATTCCCCATATGGGAAAATAAGCTTAAATGAACCTTATGGAAGGCATGAAAATGGGCTTTAT
This sequence comes from Homo sapiens, assembly GCF_000001405.40. Classification (NCBI taxonomy): domain Eukaryota; kingdom Metazoa; phylum Chordata; class Mammalia; order Primates; family Hominidae; genus Homo; species Homo sapiens. Next base: position 155,862,107 of record NC_000002.12, on the reverse strand, counting down.
TGATGCCCAGCTCCCCTGCCGAAATATATTTTTACATGTATATACATGCACACACACACACAGACACTCGCACACACACACAGACACACACACACACACACACATATATATTCAAATATTTTATTTTGATTGTGAAATTTTTCTTTAGAAATTCCCACATAACTAATATATTTTAAGGATTGGGGTGAATGCTCTATTTTAAAAATATAACACTAATTATACATTAATTGAATCTTATATTCTTATATTTTCTTCAACTTTTTAATTTGAGAAAATTATAGATTCACACATAATTGGAAGAAATAATAGAGAGACATCACACATACCTTATACTAATTTCCCCCAGTGCTTATAGCTTACAACATTAGTGTAATAGTATCAGATCATAAGCAAAATATTGACATCGATAAAGATACAGAACAGCTCCAACATGAAAAGTATCTCTCCTGTTGCCACACCAACTTCCTTCCCCATCCTTTTGCTATTTTTACAATTTTGTCATTTTGAACCTGTTATACATTTGGCTCTCTCTCTGAGTTCCACATCCACAAATTTAACCAACTGTGGGTCAAAAATATTCAGAAAAATAAAATATAATACAATAATAAAAAATACAAATTTTAAAATACAGATTAAGAAATATTTGCATTGTATTTATATAATAAGTAATCTAGAAATAATTTAATATATACAGGCGGATGTGTGTAGGTTGTATGCAAATACTATTCCATTTTATATATGGGATTTGAGCATGTGTGGATTTTGGTATCCCTGGGGATCTTGGAAACAATCTCCTGCAGATACTGAAGGATGACTGTATACATGAAATCATAAAATATTTAATGTTTAGGGATTGACACTTTTCACTCAGCCTAATTCCTGGACATGTATCTAAGTTGTGTGTATCAACGGTTTGTTTCTTTTTATTCCTAAGTAGACTTCCATTGTATAGATGTACCGCAATTTGTTTAACCATTCACTCAAGAAAGGATGTCTGGGGTTTTTCATTTTTTAGCTGTTACAAATAAACTGCTGTGAACATTTGTGTACAGATTTTTGTGTGAACATAAGTTTTCATTTATATGAGACAAATACACGAATGTTCAGTGGTTGAGTCATATGGTAATTGCATGTTGAGTTTGATAAGAAATTGACTAACTTTTTTTTTTTTTTTTTTTTTTGAGACGGAGTCTCACTCGGTCACCCAGGCTGGAGTGCTGTGGTGTGATCTCCGCTCACCGCAACCTCTGCCTCCAGGGTTCAAGTGATTCTCCTGCCTCAGCCTCCCAAGTAGCTGGGATTACAGGCGCCTGCCACCACACCCAGCTAATTTTGTATTTTTATTAGAGATGGAGTTTCACCATGTTGGCCAGGCTGGTCTCAAACACCTGACCTCAAGTGATCTGCCGGCTCAGCCTCCCAAAGTGCTGGGATTAAAGGCATGAGCCACTGCGCCTGGCCCAACTGTTTTCAAGAATGGCTGTGCTAGGCTGGGCATGGTGGCACATGCTTGTATTCCCAGCTACTCCAGAGGCTGAGGCAGGAGGATCTCTTGAGCCCAGGAAGTTGAGGCTGCAGTGAGCCATGATTGTGCCACTTCACTCTAGCCTGCACTCAACAGAGTGAGACACTGTCTAAAACAAACAAACAAACAAACAAACAAAAAACCAAAAAAGAACAACTGGACCATTTTGCATTCTCACCACCAATGTTTAAATGGTTCAGTTTCTTCAAATTCTCACCACCATTTGGTGGTGTCACTATTTTTTCCCCTAAGTATTCTAATAGATTTACAGTAATATTGATTGTGGTTTATGATTTTCATTTTTCTGATGGCTAATTATGTTGAGCATCTTTTCATTTGCTTATTTTGCATTTGTCTATTCTTTCAGGCAAATATCTTTCCATGTATTTTTCCTAATTTGTAATTAATTTTTAAAAATTCTTCAGTTTTGAGAGTTTTTGTATATTCCAGATACTGTCTTTTTTTTTTTTTTTTTGGTCTGTTATGTGGTTTGCATGTATTTTCTCCCAGTCTCTAGTCTGTCTTTTCATCTTCACATGAGCTTTTACAGATCAAAGATTTTAATTTTGATAACGTCCAGTTTGTTTTCTCTTATAATTTATGCTTTTGTTGTCATTCTAAAAATTTTTGCCTGGCCTAGATCCCAAATATTTTTATCCTGTTTTTTTTCTGGAAGTATTTTTTTCTTAACTTTTTCTAAAGTTTTAAATCTGTAATCCATTATGAGTTAATTTTCATATAAAATGTGAGATTTAAGTTGGGTGTCATTTTTTCGACTATCGATATACAGTTGTTCCAGCCCAATTTGTTGAAAAGGCTTACTTTTCTCCATTGGATTGCTTTTGCACCTTTGTTAAAATCAGTTTAGCATATTTATATTAGTCTGCTTCTGGGCTCTTTATTCTGTCCCATTGATCTGTGTGTCTGCCCCTCTGTCAATACCACATAACATTGATTATTAGCTATCTAGTAGGCCCTTATATCTGGTAGAGTGATTCACTCTACTGGCTAGAATCTTGCTGGAATTTTAATAAGACCTGCATGCAGTAAACCTACAGATCAATTTAGATAGAACTGACACCTTTAGTATGTTGAGCATTCCAACCTATGCTCATGGCATATCTCTACATTTACTAAGATCTTTCTTTCATCAGCATTATATAATTTGCAGCGTATAGATATGATATTTATTTTGTAGGTTTACACATAAGATGTTTTGTTAATTGTGGGGCTTTGGGGGTAATTATAAATTGTATTATGCTTTTAATTGTGGCTAATAATTTAAAAATTGTTCAATATTTCTGTCATTTTAAAGATGACTATATGACCATTCACTTTTCAGCAATGCTTAAACTTTTGTAATCATTTCTTTCCTTCCTAAAGAGTTTAAATACAAAACAGAGTGGAACCTAGAATTGTTACTACTAACAGAAATGTGTAGTGATCTAAAGCCATTATAGCCATATTGTTTGAGAGAGGAAGGCTCAAGCAAATATGTATGACACAGACTTATGGACAAGAGATACACACACACACTGGATCATAGTTTAAATGGAGTATCAGCTGGTTAAATTTATATCAACATAACTTTTAAAGCTTCTCCCTTATTATACATGTGCTTATATGTAATACATATAAGGATGAAGGTAGTACAATATGTATATTATGAAGTAGGCAACAAATGTCTCAGAATATTTTAAGGGATAAAATTAACATAAATAGAAATTTCATATTATTCTTTTCTTATCTCAAAGGATCATTTTGCATACCCAAAAAGTGTGTGCATTACACTTTTGAGAACGTAGGTTGAATAATCCTATTTAAAAGGTGATGACATATCTTGATCTAAGAGGAGGTCTCAAGTATTGTGGTCCAGGCCTATCCCTGTTCTATATTCTATATTTGTATTGATGTGTTTTCATTTCTCCTCTTGTCAACATCCAATCTATTACATACACATCAGGTGATGTGATTTTTGTAAAATTTGCATTTGGATGATATCATTCTTCTATTGAAAATCTGATAATGGCTTCTTAAAGCATATAGGAAAAAAAATCTGTTCCTTTATGATAGCCTACATGATTTAGTACAGCCTAACTCTCCTCCTGTATTTCTTGCTCATGTCTTCCATGTTACTCTTACAGTTCTGGCAGTCAGTTTTTTCCTCAAACAAGCTAAGCTCTGTTTTCCTGGCCTATATTATGATTTTTCTACATCTTCCCCTCATTGCTTCTTGTAACATAACCTTAAAGTTGTAAATTAAATGTGAATTCCTTTATGTTATCTTCCTTAAACTTTCAGTTTAAATTGGGTTTGTCTACCCATCTTCTCAAGCTATTCTTTATCTCAGCACCCATCCCCCGTTACATTAATACAAATGGTAATTATTTTTCTTGTTCTCTTGCTTTTGTTTCACACTATTTCCCTGCAAGTGGCTGTAAGCTATAAGAGGGCAGGGTACATAAGTCTTTTGTTTACCTTGGCTTATAATATAGGTTCCATAAATGTGTGCTGAGTGAATGAATGAACATTGAAGATACATAGAAGTTAAAAAGAAATAAATCTGGAATGTATGTTTAGAATTATGTTTGGCCTATAAAATTAATTGTGTATAATTTTCCACAAATGGTAGAAGATCCTTGCAATTTTTCTTGACTGCATATTTACCAGTATTATTGTGGATGAAAAATTTAAAAAGAAAAATGGTGTCCAGAAACAGAGAGTTGCGAGCTTCGGTGCATTATTTTCTGATTATATTTCTGAGGTACCGTGTTCCATTTAGGTGAATATCTTTGCCCCAGTATCTTTGTTTTTTACTGAGGTATCATTTATATTTCCTAAAAATTCACACATTTTGAATGTAGTTTGATGTCTTGGTAAGTGTATAAGATCACATAAACACCACTAATATCAAAATACAGAGCAGTTATTAGAGTGATATTTTAAAAAGGAATATCACTTACCTGAAGTGTATGTGGAAGAAGATCAACATTATGGGGTAACTAGAATGTGTACCTAATGGAGATTAGTGGAAGAAATTGGGCATATAAGACAGGTCTTCTATTTTGACTTGGAGCTAATGCAGGAGTGAAACGCGACACCTTTTGTCAACTTTTTGAAGGACCATTACTTGAAAGAGGGATTTAATCACTTCAGTCTGTTCTTAAGAAGCAGAACAGAGACCTATACATAAAGATTACAGGCAGGTAGATTTTAGCTTACCTAGGGGGAAGATGTTTTAGGAACTGGTGCTTCACAAAGAAATGAGCTCCCCATAGTTGAAAGGATTCAACCAACAGTTAAATATGTTAGGAATCTTGTAGCAAATTTTTCCTAACTTGAGTAGAGGTTATGGAGGACGATCTTTAGGCTGTCTCTTCCAAAGTATTTGTTGAATAAATAAGATCACTGGGTTAGGAGGTTTAGGTGGTGAAGTACTCCAAGGAGAAGTGGGATTTGAGTTGAAGTAGAAGAAAGCCTTTGGGGTTTTCAATTACATACAGAGAAAGATAGGTGGAAGGAATATTCAGAAGGAAAACTATTAGAAAGGCAAAGATATGTAACAACATATATCCATTCAGGTTGGATTGTTCTAAATAACCACTTAGATTTTATGGATCACAGACCACTGAAATAGGAAGAAAAAGTGCTCTCTCACACTGCTTTTTAAAAAATTTTTTTATTTCTAAAATAGATTTAAAAGTAAGAGAAGAAAGAATTTTATCTGCTTGTACAAATTCTCTGGTCTCTTAAGCAGGACTAATGATCTTAAATTTGCAAATAGCACATAGCTACAAACAAATATATATTTTTGATTTAAAAACACCATGTGCGTTTGCTTTTCTTCCAGGCAGATAATGGGCCTTTTTCTCTCATAGTTCAACTGAAAAAAATTGGTAGATTTTCTTTATAATATGCTATTATCCTAAAACTCAAAAGCAAACCCAAATACCATCAGTGGTTATAACCTGTGTTGTGTTTGAAAATGGAAATTTGACCACTTCAAACAGCAAAATCTTCATTTCCATTAGTTTTATGAACTGCCTGATTGTAGTTCAGGATAAAATGTACACTATTCTGTAGGTTGCTATGATGCACCAGTCAAGATGATGGAAACAAAGGCAATTATTTGTACTAGAAATAGCATATTTCATTAAGCACTTCATGCATGAATATAGCTACTTTGGAGCACATTGCCTTTTATTGGATTTATACCCTCAAAGTTATAGACAGGTCTTCTATTTTAGTTATGGAGATTTGTCTTTGGACATCTTTCTTGTATATATCTTTTAATTATGCATTTTATACACAATATTTTATAAATCACCAACATTCAATAAACTAAACAGTCAATTGAATTGATAATCATCTTCCAGTCAATGAACAAAAGACTACCCATTAAAAAAACAAAGATAAGTTGTTCCTTATTGCTTTAGCAAAGGAAAATAAGGACAAAGTTTAAATAAATGATTTCTATAGGCTCAAACACAGGTAAAAAGCAAAGTTTCATAGACCTTTCAGAATTGTCAGGAGTGATCAAATATTTTATTAGAAATAGAATGATCTAGATATGGTTGTGAAACAATTTTACTTTAAAAAATGATAAAGTAATGGATCTGAATCTCCATCTAGGGATCACACTAGACAAAATATAGGCTATTTTGTTTTACTTACTGAAATGTGAGTAGAAAGCCAGAAGCTTTAGACTTTTGTTATTCTTAAGGGAAGTGACAGCAAATATTGATGACCAAAATGGAAGTGTTTACCCAGACTGTATAAACGAAAACTCTCAAAATGAGTTACTAAAACATTTTTCCTTTCCCATAGTTCAGAAATGCAGACTTTAATTTTAAAGGGAGATGATCTTCCTGCTTCTAGATTCAAGGTCTTCACATACTTCCATCATGGATGTAGGAACAGGCCCTTGGGAAAATCTGTAGTCTGAGAATAGGTTATCTGGGAATAAATCACCCAGGCTTGCTAGTGGTTTGTGTTATTGAAGATTGAAAAATCATCATACCTGTATAATCCCTGGTACATTTTCTTGTGCAGTAGAGTTATACTATACCCATCTGGAGAATAGTCGGAGGTTGAGTCTACCAATTTTTAGCTATCTTATTTTGGATAAGTTACCCAATTATTCCAGACTTTAGGTTTTCTCCGTGAAATGGGGATAACAATGTTCATTTTAGAAGGACTGATGTGAAGACTAGAGGAGTGCATGCAAAGCATCAACCTAGTGCCCAGTTCATGACACATGAAATCCATGTAAACCACAGTATAAGTCATTAGGTGAGATATAAGGAGAAGATCATTATCATGTTAAGCAAGAAATAATATGACTCATTTGCTAATTATTTAATCAAACTTGAGGGAAACCAGATTCAGTTGTATTGGAGATTCTGCACATTTAGCTCTAAAGATTCTTATCTACGTCCATTTCTAGTCATTCACTTAATAAACTTTTATTAAGTGCCCAGTATGTTTCAGTAACTATTCTAAACCCTAAGTATACAAAAATGAATAGAATAGGGCTTAACTCTCATTTTGCTCCCATTCCAGTGGGAGAGACAGATTCAAACAAAATGCATTAAGTGTAACTATGGAGGTGCAGGCAAGGGCTGGGAGAGCTTAAGGAGCAAGTATTGAAATCCACTTAGAAAAGTCAGGAGAATTTTTAAGAAGAGGTAAGGAATTGAGCTAAATTTTACACCGTGAGTAGCAGTTTGCCAGGCAGATAAGGTGGAGAAGGACGTACCTGAAAAAGAGTCCAGCATATGAAAGCAGGAAGTTGAAAAAGAAAAAAGCAAGGGAGAGAGACGGCATGTGGCTGAGTACATTTTTATCACATGATGAGAGTAGAGGAAGGTAAACCTTAAAATGAAGGTAAGGGCCCTGATACCATTCCATGGAAATTCAAGTGACCCTGAAGGATGTTAAGCAGGAATCAGGCGTCAGATCTGCATTTTCCAAAGGTACACTGGCATCAGCCTTAAGGATATATCTAATGGACAGCCAGAAAACCCAGAGAGACAAGTTAGAAGTCACAAGAGTGCTTTCACTCATAAAATCTGTACCTGATAGTTTAGTGTTGGGGATTGACTGTTAATTCAAACCCAATTAATTCTGACATATTTCCACTGTGTGTAACTACCTATCAATGAAAATTGTCACTATGCCTGAAAATATTTTTTGAATTATCACCTTCTCCTGAAGTATTTTATTCAACATTGCAAAAATAAATTTATAAGGTGATTTGAGGAAACAAATATAGCTGTGATTTTGTGTTTGTATAGGTTTTTGCCCACAAAAAACTTTTCTTCTGTTTGTGAAATTATGCTATGCAAATGTGTATAGCATATATGCATTTTAAAATAAAAAATACCTATATACCCCATACCAGCTTAAGAAGTAAAAGTTTACCAATACCTTTTACAGGTGCTTGTGTGTCCTCCTTATCATATTCTTCTCCACCTTACTGTACTGAGTTTTGTATGCCTCTTCCCTTATTTTTTATAAGGGCTTAGACAGTCTTCTAATTTCTTTGTTTAAGTTCTCCCCCCATCCACCCACATGCCGACCTAAGACAGGATTAAGATATCTAGTGTCTACCCTATGTCTGATTGACATACATGAGAATATTCCCCAGTTGGTATTATAGCACAAAGTTGGTGAGGTGAAAGCACATTTTATGTTAGCACAGACTCAAAAATACTTGGAGCACTGGAATGCACATATGTTATCCTTGAACTACTGCCAAATCATAAGAGAATGTAAAGAAATATGAAAACTACTATATAGACTAAGATATTGTCATTAAGATCAGACGTTCCTTGGTGTCATTGTCATTCATGTTTTCTTTGAAGCAATTTTGACTTTATTAGTTATTGCTAAAAGATTTGAAATATACCTTTCTAGGTAAGTAGTAACTGTTTTCCAGATCTTCTCTGTTTAGGACATTTTACATAAAATAGTTCCTGTAAAGCTCTTTAAATAATGACCAACATAGAATAAGCCCTCAACAAATGTTAGCTAACAATATTGTTGTTATTATTGTCGTTATTGTTATTATTGCCAACTCTATTCTTCCAGTGATATAGATCCTATTTTCTATTGAGAGAAATACAGTAGTGGGAGATGGTACTGTATAATTTGGTGTAATCTTACTGCATTGATGGTAAAACACTTCTTTCATTATTTTATTTTGCATACAGGTGGGAATTCGATGACCCTAGAATTAAATTTTTTGTGGGCAACCTTTCTCTCTTTCCATTTCCATCAATGTAACCATCCCTTAGTAGGCTGTCTTTTTATATTATTTAAAACATGAAAGGAGCATGTCATAGACATTACTGCTGTTCATCAATATCCCTTTTCTTTTTGAGTCCGCTGAGCTAGCTTGCATAACTTTAGGTAAGGCCAGGTGACCAACTGGCCAATGAAATGTATCCATCCCAGGTGGAGGCAATGAAAAGCCCCTGGAGCAACATTCTCTAGTCAAAATTTCTTCAATTCTAATCATGAAAATTATTTGTTGAGAGGGCGAAGCAGCAAAATTCAAACAGGTTAGATTGTTATGTTGCCACACAGAGGACAACTGCCCAAAAGGACAACTGTCCTGACCTATAGCACACTTTGCATGAACCAAAAATAAATTATAGATGCTAAGCCACCGAGATTTTGTGGTTGTTTGTTACCTAGTCTGTCTTGACTGATATAAAATACTACTTTATTTTTCATGCATAACTAATCTGGCATTCTTGACTTAAAAGAGAAGTAGCACATTCCTCATTTTAATGGACTATCACTGTGCTTGTACCAAAAAGATGAAAACTTGAGCAATAATATTTATTGCTGTTAAAGTTCACTTTCTATTATTCAGTATTCTAATACTTGTTTCCAGATATTTAAGAACATATAATAAACTGAGCTCATTATTTTACCAACTTAACACAATAATACCAATAATCACAAAACAATTTCTTGCAGAGATTAGCTGGCTATGAATATACACAGATAAACGTTAATCTCAGATCTCTTTGACATTGCAAATGAAGTTATCTAGATTATGATGATCGTGTCATTAATTATAAAACTAGGACCTCATTTTATATCTAACATCAAACTTAACCAGGTTAGTTTGTAGATGATGGATTGTTGTGGGTGGAAAAGTGTATCCAGGACTGAGCAAGCCATAGCAAATGCTGATTGGACAGAATTTGTGTCAGGCAGCTTAGGCTAAGTTATGCTGCAGTAACAAACAGCCTCAAAGCAAGTGGCTTATAACAAATTATTTCCTCATTTTAACTATATATCCATTCTGGGTTGGCTATGTCTCTGTTCTAAGTCACATCTGTTCTGGAATCCAGGCTGAAGGTAGCAGCTGCTATCTGAAACATTGCTGGTTTTGTGTCAGGGAGAAAAGAAAATATTAGAATCACATGATAACCTATCTTTGAAGTATCACACACATCTTTCCTCACATTCTACTGGGCAAAGCAAGTTCTATGACCAAATTTGATGGCAATGGGTAGGGATGGATTATTTTTCAACAAGGAAGGGCAACAAATATTTTGAACAGTAGTTATCCAATATAGACCGAGGTTAAGCTTGTGAGGTTGGGGTAAGGATCAGAAAGGTAAGCCTTTTGGGATTTCCAAGAGCACAAAGTCAACATAAGCAATGATTATAGCAAATTGGACAATTGTGAAACAATGACGAATATAATCAGTGGATTTGATTCTAATCTCTATTCCATACTGAAATAAAAAAGTATGAAGCCCATATGAGGAGGTCTGAGAAAAACAAGGCACCAGTTAAACATTGATAAGATTAAGACCAGAAGTTCTGAGACAGATTTCCAGCTCTAAATCAGAACTTAAAAACAAGTCAAACAAACTTTTTAAAATAAAAAAATTTCAAACATAGTAAAAAATAAGGTAACAATGAATTTTCCATATCCCTATCATCCATATTCAACAATTATTAAAGTGTGCACAGTTCCATCTAAATTACTCCATTTTCTGCCCCTGGTTTATTTTGAAGTACATCTCAGACATCATCTCATTCATATCATTCAATTAGTATTTATCACTAAAATATACAGTCTTATAATTTAAACATATAATATTATTATAATTTGTAAAAGTTTAAAAAATTGCTTAGAATTGTCACATGTTGAGTCAGAGTTCAAATTTCCCAGTTATCTAACCTTTTTCTTTTGTTTATTTAAATCAAGGACCTAGTAGGTCTATTATTATAAATAGTTTTCATGTCTCTTAAGACTCTTTCAAGCCATAAGTTCCCCCCTCTCTTTATTTTTTATTTTCCGTTTTTATTTTGTGATTGTTGTTATTGTTGAATAAACAATGAAATTCAGAATATTTAATTTGATGTGTACCGGTGGATGTTGATTCTAGCAGAAGGTGTGCAGATAGAGGCAAATGTAAGCACCTAAATTGACCAAGGAGTTCAGAGAAAAGATATCTGGAAAATTATGACTTGTTATGACCTGCACTTACGGTGTATTGAAGAAAATGTGCCTTAGGATTTTGCAGGCATTACTGTCATTGTAAACAGGAAAGGTATAATGCTCAAAGTATTTCATTGCTCTTAGTCACAAAATGCTGGTTAGATTACCTTAGATCAATTACAGAACAATATTGCCAATGAGATTTTCATAGATTGTATTTTCAAAACAGTCCGCAATAATATGTTCTGTTCTACAACTTGATGAAGAGAATATAGTGCAAGTGGATCTCAGTCATGGTACATCTTCTGCCTGGCATTTTCTCTCTCAGGACTCATGCCTTGGAAGCTCTGAGCTAGAAGCCATCAGGCTGGAAAGACCACATAGAGATAAAGAGGAATGCTACTAAGTTGTCCAGCTCTCAGCGATTTAAATCTTTCTAGACCAGAGACCAGCTTGTAAATTTGTGAGCCTTCAAAGGATTCTGGCCCCCAGCTTTGAATAACCCCAGCTGACACTAACTAGAGTATGTAGTCCCAACCAAGGTCTGCCCAAATTGTTATTTGTAGGCAAAATGAATATTGTGCTGTTTTAAATACCAAAGTTTTAAGTTGGCTTGCTACCTTAAATTGATACCAGCTTGCTGGTAAATTGGTGGCTTGCTACCAGCAATTGGTGTGGAAAAATGAGTAACTGAATATCTGGTTGTGCTTTGGCTCTGCTGCTTTTAAGTTCCATCAAAGAATTCCCTTTCATTTATTTCATCAGGTATTTATAGTTTTCCTACAATGTGGCAGATATTATATACGCAAATAAATAAGACATGGTTCCTACCATCACATAGCTTACAGTTTAACAAAGTTGATTATCAGGGCATAATTTTCAAGGCTTCATTAAATACAGTGAGTGTTAATAAAAATACTCATCACTTATTATACATGCATCATATTGCCAGACATTATACTAGATGTTTTACATAATTATTTCACTAAGTCTCAAATTAATCTCATGAAATAAGCATTAAGAGCTTCACTTTATACTTGAACACACTAAAATTCAATGAAGTTAAATAAATAGTCCAAGGTAATCTAGTAAGTAAATATCAGAACTAGAGTTTCTACACACTGCTGCCTGAGTCTTTTAAATGACTATTTTTTGTTGTTATTGTTTTTCTATAATAGAAACTTTCAAATATTATACACAATCAGTTTCAGTTGAATGAAGGAAGATTTATTTATTTACAGGTTAATTCCACCCTAATGCTAAATGATATTTAAAGTAGACTCCAGAATGGCTTGATAAACATGAAAGTCATATGAGTATGCATATACATAGTGTAAAAGGATTTTGATTGGGATGTTTCCTATTCCTGTGAAGTATGCTATTGGCCCATGGATGAAAAGAAAAATTGTAAGCATGGCAGCACTAACTCATACCTACTTACAGTGAATTAGAGGAGGCATCCCTTGTACAGCTGTAGCTCTGCTCCATGACCTGAGGTTTCATCAGCACTAAACAGAATAGATTTTAGTCCCCATTTGCTCTTTTAGTAAGGTATCTTTTTGCACAAAGATCCACAGAATCAAGCTTCCAACAATTTTGTTGGAAAACTTGCTCATTTTCTGGCTATATACTCCTACTGCTATTGGCACTGAGCCACCATCTTACCTTCCTCTGGAGTCTTTGTGAGATGATTGGAGAGAATGGAGAGAAATTTTTCGAAAAGTGCATCATTTATATGGTAAAGTAGTTCTCTCTACACAAGCGAAGTGATAAAGAAGAATGAATCTTTAGGAGAATCATTCATGGAGATTGCAGGTGCCGAAAAGAAGAAAAAAAAATCTGAAAATCTGCTTACCTGGTTGAATGCTTGCTAAGTTATAAAATTTATAGTAAATTGAAGCACAAATTATAACAGTATTCTTGGAAGAGGGAGAGTTGAGATATGTTCCCTGATGACCAAAGGAGAATATGAACTTAGACCTGGTCTCTGCTTCTTATCTGCATATTTCTGAAGGCAAATATAATGTATTATGCCTATGAAGAAGATGGGAGCAAATCAAAGTCAACTTACTTATCCTCAGCTCTTAGAGTGTAAGAGGGAAAACCTGTCAGTTTTTACGGCTCTCTGAAGGATGTGAGGAGGTGAGAGGTGAGAAGAGAGGAAAGTTATGTTGGGCAGCCCATGTGAAGTGAAGCTTTTCCAGAGAGAAAGTGTAGATGTGGAGAACCACCAGGGTTGAAGGAATCCAGGATTTCCCCTCTGTGAAGTCCTCCCATGTGGCAGAGTCTTGGGGTAAAGCTAAATACCATTTTCAAGAAAACCTTCTAAGAATTAAAGATCTGGAAGAAAACCAGGGATACCTCCAAATGGACGTGCAGCTCCTTTCTACTTCACTGTCCTCCTTGCCTCCAACCTCAGAGGTGCCAGACCCCAAAGAAGAAGCAAGCCTAACAGGAAAACCCAGATACTAGTCTCATTACTTCAAATTCTTTATGCCCTTCAAGTAGCCGGAAAAAGGAAAAGGCACAGATCCTTCTCTTGAATCAAATAGAAACTAAAGTTTTAAATTAGCCTAAAATCAGGTTTAGTGAATGAAAGTGACAAAAAGTTGTAGAATTCACAAGATGTAATAAAGGTCAGTCCTGCCTCTCCCCAGCAACATCAATTTCTTCCTTTATGGATCTCTTCCATTAGCACACAAATATGCGATACCCTGGATGGCAAAAGGCTCCCTTGCCTATATTGCTGTTCAACTTCTATCCCATTTCCCCATTCAACTTTGCAGAAAATTTTTGTTAAAATGATTGACTAAAATCACTTCTTTTCCATATATTCTCTTTCAACACAACCCAGCTGGACTTTGGTCTCCATCACTCTGCTCAGATTTTCCTTAGCAAGGTCATAAATAAATCCGTGTTCCAAATCAAGTTGTCACTTCACTGTCATTTTCTGAACCTCTCCCAAACATTCAACATAACAAACCTTTCCTTCTTTCTTGAAATGCTTTTTTAAATTTGGCTTCAGGGATACTATATCACGATATTTTCTTTTTTTTTTTTTTTTTTTTTTTTTTTGAGACGGAGTCTCGCTCTGTCGCCCAGGCTGGAGTGCAGTGGCGCGATCTCGGCTCACTGCAAGCTCCGCCTCCCGGGTTCACGCCATTCTCCTGCCTCAGCCTCCCGAGTAGCTGGGACTACAGGCGCCCGCTACCACGCCCGGCTAATTTTTTGTATTTTTAGTAGAGACGGGGTTTCACCGTGTTAGCCAGGAGATATCACGATATTTTCTACTTCTTTGTTTGCTTCCTGTCCTCCACCTCTGACATTGGAGGGCCCTTGGTGCATTGATCTGCTCTCTTTTGTCTTTTCTATCTAGATAAACTCCTTAGGCAAGTTTTTTTAGTCTTAGGGTTCCAATAAAACTTAAATTTATCTCCAGTGCTAATTTGGCATTCCTACAGGCATGATTCTAAGGCTTTATAAGTCAAAATATATCTTAAGCAAAACTTTTACTCCCCCCCCGCCCAAGAACAGATTCCTCCCTTATTCTTTCCTGTCTGTGTAAATGGACTCACATCTATCTGTTGATAATCAAAATTCTTGGAATTATCCTGTATTACTCTCATTAGTTTTCTTGCCATCTCTTCTATAAGCATGTTCGGTTAATTCTACTTGCAAGATATATTCCAAATGCATTCAATTATCTCCAGCTTCCCTAGTTCCAGCCATCATCTTCTCTTTCTTGGACTACTGCAACAATTAACTAAGAATCCTGTTGTTTATTCCCTGATTCTTCAACTCTTCCCACTGTAGCCTGAGATATATTTTAAAATGTTACACTGTATACATATTTCCAGGCTTAAGACCTTCTAGGAACTTCTAAGGGAACTAAGCTTATTTCTGCCTTTTGACCTTTTCACTAACTCTTCCTTTGACTTGCAATGTTCTTCCCATAGATTTTATCACGGCTAGCTCCTTTGTGTCATTCAGATCTTTGCATAAATATCACATCCTCAGAGATACCTTCTTAAATCCTCAGTCTAAATTTGCATTCACTATCGCATTGCACTCATAATTTTCTACCAAATACTTACAACTACCTGAGAACCTTCTTGTTTATTTTTTGGTTTTCTTCTACCTGTAGTGTAAACTCTGTGATAATAATGACATTCTCTCCTTTTTCCCCTATGTCTGAGAATTTATACCTATTTCTGTCACATAGTAGGCATGCAATACATATTTTTTAATTAAAAAAATGACTAACCCTTATAGGAGACATATAAAAAATGTAGTTTAGAAATGTTTACCCTGTCTGCATAAACAACCAACATTTGGGAAACTGCATTCACAATCTAAAAACTGATGCCACAGAATAAAAAGCAGTAAGCATTAAGTATTAAGTTCTGCTTATTTAAGTAACCATGAAGTAGCAAAAACCTAGAGAAAATTTATCAAGACAAAGACCCCATCAATTAGAAGATTGGCAGAAAAAAATCAGTGTAGACAAAAGTTCCAGACTAGAGTAGTTTACCAAAGATCTTGAATCTGTTGTGTGAAGCATGTAGACACATTTGATTAGTAACATTTATGAGTCACAAATAGCAGTAAATAGAAAGGCAAGAAGCTAACCACAAGGTCAAATGCTGTCATTAAAGACAAGTTCATAGTAACCCCATTGTACTGGAGTGGCAATGGGAAGTGACAGGGTGACATCATAAAAAGTACATCATGTGGCACTCAAGAAGAAAGCAAGATATGGGGAAAATATTATATAAATAGCAAACAGACACATAAAGAGAAAGTAATTGCAATTGTTGGTATACAGAATGAATAGATTATGCATTTTGGTAGGTAGCTTTATAGAATTAAATACTCTCTACCCAAATGGGGACAGCTGACAATTAAACAAACATTTTTAGTAGTGCATTGTGAAAGCAGAGAAGAAAGAACATCCAACTGGTTAATTTGGTCAAATTGTTCAATGTATTTGTCAGGTGCTCAGTTTCAGTCAGACTCTTGAAATTTGTAGTTCACCCACATAAAACACTCAGCTGGATATTTAAGAATTAAGAACTCAGTTTGTTATTACATTTTTTTCCTGGCCTATGTATTTCGTTTTATCTAAATTTGTTAGATTGCTGCATAAAGAAAGAAGGGTTTTGCTTTAAGTAACATGAACTTCATTCATTCCCCGCTAAGTTGAGGCTGTAATTGAAACGCAAGTTTCCCGTGTCCCCTTCGAAAGGCTTGCCATGGGACTGTGGCTCACTTCTTCAGTGTCCTACGGCTCAGACCTCTACGGCAGCATACAGATAGGCAGGCTGTGTGGCTCCAACCCCACGGCAGTGTCTAGGGGTGAATGTTTACAGCTCCTGAAGCCCCAGTGGGTGTGTGTTACAGGGTTCTCTCTCAGTTTGCCGTCTATAGGCAGCTTGTGTTAACCAGCTCAATTAGACCCCCTTCCTTATCACAAGGACAGAAGGAATTCTGTATCCGGGGGTTTCTTGCCTTGGTGTACTGAAGAATCGGATCACACGTGGGCTTGGAGAATGAGTGCAAGGCTTTTTTTTTGTTTTGTTTTGTTTTGTTTTGTTTTGTTTTTTAGTAGAAGTAGCTCTCAGCAGAGAGGGGAGCCAGAAAAAAGATGGTTTTCCCCTGGAGTCTGGCCACCTAGCCTGGCGGACTGCTCTGGCCAAACTCTGCGGCATTCTGCTGGTGAATGGTCTGCCATCAGGCCGACCAGGGGCTGTCCGCATGCTTCCGCCAGGTGTGCTCTCCATGATCAGCTGCTTGTGTCTTCTGCCAATGTGTTCCTCACAACGTCCAGCCATTTGTGTGTCTGCCTGCTAGTGTCTCGGGTTTTTATAGGCCCAGGATGGGGGCCTGGCAGGCCAGGGTGGTCTTGGGAAATGCAACATTTGGGCAGGAAATGCCTGTCCTCACCTAAGGTCTGTGGGGGTGGAGCCCTAGCCAGAGACCACCCTTCTCTACCCAGCACTTCCCTTCCCCTCTTCGTGCCATTTAAAGGGACCATGCTTTTCCCTTCCCTATAGTCCCCTATCATAATGACTGAGCCTTAACATCCTTATTCCATAATGTGCCATTCTCGAAACAAAAAGGCCAATAGAAAGGGCCAGGAAAAAACACAGTAAAATACCGAAACTTATCAAGACTCTTCAAATAAAAGATTGAGTCCTCAATTTTTAATGTGAATAAAGAGAGCAGTTCTCACAACAATCAAATGGTTCTTGACTGTCAGGGCTTGATTAGCATTGCACAGGATGAAGGAGACAGAAGGGTTGTGTGCACGCAGGGAACAGAGCTCAGAGATTCTGAAGAGAGGAAAGGATTATACTTAATAATGGATATATTTTTGAACTCCTTAGGAATGTTTTCTTGCCTTGTGACTGCAGAGCACTGTGGGATTTTGCCATTCTGTCTTTCCCTAGGGTCTTATCATGAGATGGTTACCTAATTAGCACACAGCACATTCTTGCCTATGTTCTATTTGCACTGCAGATGCTTTCATTTCATACATCATTCACAACCTGCAGCAATTATAAAGTGGTAAATGACCTTATGCGATAATTACACTAATAGATCTGTATTGTTTCATTTGGAAGACTGTTTGGAGAAAATAGGTGTCTGATAAGCACAGAATGGTTGCAGTTATATTCTTTCTTTAAATCTGCAACAGAAAGCAAGCAAAAAGATAACTTTCGGTCATAAAAGTTGCATCATATACCCAATCTGAAAAATTCCTAGGTAGAGATTTCTCTTTAGAAGGAATATAAACTTTTTGCAAGTATCTCAATGTTGTACCGTTCGTTTGACCAACAATATTTGGATTTATCAATTAGCATTGGCATTTTAATAAATCAATAGTATCCTTATCTGCTAGAATCAGGAAAAGAGAGATTATTATTTCTCCTAAAACTACTCAAAAATCAGTCTTATACTAACTGTAAAATTCAGTGGATAAGATATGGTTCTAATCTTTAAAGTGGCTGAAAGCTAAACAAATTGCAATTTTCAAAGGAAGTGCACACATAAAATATGAATGCTAATATAGAAGAAAATGAAACAAAAATAAATGGTCAGTGTTGGTTTCTTCCTTCCTCACTCTCCCACTCATGCAATGAGGCACCTTACGAAGTTGTATTGAGATGGTTTTTAGAAAGAATTTGTATCATATGAACATACTAATAAAATAACCTAAAATTTGTATAGCTAAGTAAATACATATGTTTTCTTTGTTAACTTGATCTCATTTTATTGCCTTTTAAATTGAGCCCACAAAACTCTTTACCCACACTTTCTGGATTTGTTGCAAATGTGTGTGAACACTCTTTGAAGCTTACTCTATAATATATTATTTAAAATATACTTTAGCAACTAATTAAGTGTAATAATTTTAAAACAACTTTCTATACAAGTCTAATCTTCATAAAACATGAATTATCTACACTGATGCAATTTACAAAATACTGGCTTAGTTTCAATTTTACTTGGTACTGACCAGAAGCTTAAAGGTGAGAGATGCATCATAGTATTTTTCTGTAACTTAAATCATTGTTGGTGGATGAAAACAATAATTAAAATGATAAATGTGATAGAGTGAAGAAAACACTTTATACTTAGGAAAGATGTGTTCTAATCATTGTATAGCTAATGCTTCAGTGGATTTGAAATGATTAAACAAGAAAAACTTTTAGCTGTACTGGTAGTGATATTCTGTTGAAAATTCCATCATAATCATGATTTGCTTATTAGGTATTCTGTGTTACTGGTTTAGATCTCGGTCTAGAAATTACTTGTCTGGCAAAGGGAAGAATGTAAAAGGGATCTTAGCTTTAACAATGGCTTTCTTAGTGGGGGGAAATAAAACAGGGAAAGTGAGAAAGGAAGGAAGATGGAAGGGAGGTAGGAAAGGAAGGAAGAAAGGAAGGAAAGAAGGAAGGAAGGCAGGAAGCAAGGAAGGAAGGGAGGGAGGGAGGAAGCAAAAAAGAATAAAAGAAAACTAAAACATGGTTTCTTTAAATGTACAAATTAATTGTAAATGCTCTTACATTTTAAAATTGTAAAAGTGTGAAAATATAAATATATGATTTAGCATGAAGGGATTAAAATACAATTTACCTTGCTGTGGTGTGCACGTGCACACACACTCACACACACACCCTGCAAGTACAGTATGGACTGGTGATTACACTAATGGCATGGTAATGGCATTGAGCAGTCATTCAATTTGTTTGGACATCATTTTCTTCACCTAAAGATGAGACAGAATGAGGCAACAGACCACAATTTTCTAACGTGAGTTTTATCTTCAGATAAATGGACTCATTCTATATTCAAAAAGGAGTAGATGTCCCTTCTTTTTGGAGCAAAATCTGGAACTCATATAGGTGGACAGTAACACATCTCAAGGGTCGCCAACCAAATACATTATTTCCAATAAAAAATAAGCATAAGTGATTCCACATAGCTTTTTATTGTTTTCTTCACTGCCCTGGCTTTGCTCAAGGAGGTTTTCTGCTATACTTTGGATATGGTCACCGTTAAGGTCAGGTTTGTTTTCAGGCTGCCTGGCATTTTTTTTTCTCTTCCTTACCAGTAGCTCTTCTCACAGACATTTTCTTCGAGTCTTTCTCATTTAGTCACCGAGTGCTTTGGTGACCCGCACTCCTACAGGGTAGATTTAAACTTTGCTTCTTTTGTAATCTCGGAAGGTTTTTTTTAGATTCTGTTATGGCAACATCATGGGACTTACTTCCCTCCCCACCCCCGAACTAGTTGCCATCTGACAGAATCAAGAATTGCATTATTTCATTCTCTTCTCATCATCACTATTGTTATTTTATTTTTTAAAAAAACCACACATTGTTCTTCTCTGCTCAAAGCTTGGCATTCTGAACTCTGAGTAATATTTCAAACGAGATGAAATGATGTAGTGCACCACACTGTGCCAAAATGAAATGCTTGCCCCTTCTAATCAGTGCAGTTAAATAAGACAGACTTTGTTGCATATCTTATTATAAAGCATTCCTAAGTACACATTTTACATGTAGCTGAGTGAGTAAACAATTGGAGTACTGTAAGTTGCTTCACAGCATAAAGCTGAATAACGTATTGAAACAACTTCAAGTACCATCACTCAGAGAACTAATGTGTTTTCTTCCTTAGAGAAGTCTTCATATGTCACATTCTGGGAAACTGAGAATCTAATTTAGACATTTTTTTTTTTCCATTTGATATTCCTTACCCCTTTCTTTTGTTTGACAACCATAGTAGAGTTAATCAGCTACAGTAACTCGATCTTCTATTAGCCTTGCTAATCATGCAAATACCCTTTTTGAAAGTCACACTTGCATTTTTAATGGCAGTACTCCCCACCCAGATGGTCGTGAGAGGGTAGGGGAGAGGGGTGGGAAAGAACAACAACTTGAAATAAAATAATAATAAAGACAATTTTGGTCATCTAGCTCATTGAGTAGCCAATTGGCTGATTTCCTGTGCAAGAGAAAGGGAACACAGGAATGTGAGTAATTCAATTCATCCATGAGCTTTAAAGTCAGATGAAGTGCTTCAAAGTTCTGACTGCCATCTGCTAGATTTATAACCTGAAGCAAGCTACTTATCGTCTCTAAGCCTCAGACTCTTCTCTAAAATGGGATAATAGTCGCTACTTTTAGATTGAGAAATTTAAATGTTACTTTTTTTCAGACTTTGCAGAAAACATACAAATATTTCATAATGGTTATTTTTTATTGATGCTGCTTCTGTTAGTGTTATTGTATAGAGCTTTAAACACAGATGATGAAAAATAGCAAGGACAGTTACACTGCTTCAACCAAGTCCAATGTTTAAGCAAATATTTCACTAAAAGGATTAGCTAGAAAGAAATTCATTACTTCATCTAATTCCTTTTTTTACCTATCATCCTCTTTCTTAATATATACAATATATTTTAAAGAACAAATGGTTTAGCAATACTTTTCTAGAAAAGATAAACTTATGAAATGAAGCTTGCGCATTTTCAGAAAGAAGAGCAGTTCTTAAAATTAAAAGTATATAAAAACATTGATTTTGACCAAAATTTTACTTTTTTTGGCTTTCATTTCAGTTTCCTCACTGGAGAAAATAAGCCTGGTTATTTTTTGGCCTATGTTGAAACATCATAAGTAGAATGAAACAGCATAATTTTTTCCCCCTGGGGTTCAAGAGTTTATTTCTTTTGATACAACAATAAATCAACTGACGAAATGGAATTTCTTTGCAATACATATGCAACAAGTTAGTTTGCATGGACAAGTTGAGCTTCAGTTTATATATAGACACTCTGGAACATTTTATTATAAAGCAATAGTGCTGGAAAGCCACTTAAAGGGGTAACTGCACCAGTAACTATGAGAAGGAGATATATGATTAACCTAGTAGAACTTAAAAAGTGATTTCTGCAGCTTTGAAATCATCTACACATGAACTCAAGCAGCAATACGTATTGGGTGAGTATAACATAATGCTGATGTAATTAATCCTTCTGATGCTATTTCCTTAGAAAGAACGGGTGGTAGAAATTTTAAATGAATTGGTGTAATTTTGTTTTATTTTCAATGTAAATTGAATTTTTGAATCTAAGAATCCATGCTCAGCATCACAGGCACTATACTTTTATGTCATCACAGGTTTGGAAAACCCCATAACCAGATTTGTCTCTTCAAGAAACAAAAGCCAACTTTGTAGTTATAGACAAGACACACACGTTAAGCCAGCTCATATTTTCCTGTAGCTTCTCTTTCTAGTTAAGTCTGCAAACTAATTTGGATTAAACTAAAACAGACTTTTGCTCCAAGCATTTTGAAAGTTTAAAGAGTTTGGCTAATTTTGGTTGTCTTTTCAAAATATTTCTTATATGGCTTCATGTCTGTGTCCTGGAAGGGGACCAATATGTGCTTAAATCTTTCAAGAAGTTGCTCTTTTCTTCTGCCCAGGCTTCTGAAAGGCAGCAAATACATGGAAGTTGTAAGTCTTTCTGCCTGCTTTCATCAAATGAGATGCCGGACAAAGTTCATTGTCACTAGGATTCAGAGTCATTGGGGGAAAAATGTAGAATGCACTGCATTAAAAAATACTGTCATTCTTCTGGTATTATAAAATCTAGTATGTACTTAAATCACCTTTTAAGGAAAATGAAAAGACATGTATGTTCCAAGTCCTTTGTCATCTTTGTTCCTCTCTTGTTCATACTCACTGACTTTATTTCTTGCCAGTTAACCTGAAATCACACTATTTTAATTTCTAGTTTAGATTCTGTGCTATCATTGGTACATGGTACTACACAGTGATGCTGTTTAAATGAAGAAATCTACTCTTCTAAAAAATCTTTGCCACTGATGCCACATACAAATACCGTATGGACTAGCTCTCAGAGCCAAAGCAGGAAAAATCGCCAAAGGGTAAAAATAGTTCTTGATATGATGATACGCTGCTAAAAGCCACATGGTGTTTGGGTGCAGTATTTCACAGTCAAACAATCATAATTTCATGCCTAAAATGTGCATGTTATTTCAGGAAAATACAAAATCTGAGCATTGCACATTTGCTACAGAATGACCAGTGAGTGTTGCTATAATGATTTGTTTTTCTTTTACAAATGAATATTTCTTGCTGAGCCTTTTCATGCCATATTGCCTGGGGCGGCAATGGAAGTAAGGACAGACTGAGGTTAGAGTTGGAGGGAGTATTGGGGATGTCTGGTCTTTTCTGCTAAATTTCTATAATGCTACAGAGTAGGTATAGTATAAAAAAAAGCTTCCCTTTTTGTTTTCTTTCTTTCTTGAAATGTTAAGTACTGTAGTTCTCATCTTAGAAGAAGAACTGGGTTTTGTGGGGCTGGATGGTAAGAGACAGCTTTTTCAAAAGCATGGTTTATATCTTTCTCCAAGAGTACTACGGTTCTCATGTGATCTTTAGTAAATATTTATGATATGAAACTCTCTCTCCCTTAAAGTTGTAATGGATTTGGAGGGTTCAATTGATCTGAGCCCATGGTCATTGCAGTAGAAATACAAGAACATATTATAAATGTTAGTTTCTCTAAAATATTCCTCATAATTTGTTTAAGCTATATGATACTCCACAGTCAGGCTGAAGAGTGAGAAGGATAGGTATAAAGAGAAATCTGTAAAAATTGGAAACGACAAGGAAAGGGAATTAGTATATGTTTTTTGTCTTGTTTTGTTTTGGTAACAAAAATTGCTTATGCAAAGAGAAAAAATCTCCTGACATTATTAAACAAAAGTGGAAGGTTTGTGGCATCCAGCAAACTAGAAAAATATTTAAAGTCCTGGAGAGAAAAAATAAAATAAAACAAAAACCAGTTGAAAGTCCATATCATGACCTCATACTCATGAGGATGGATGATTAATCCCGGTATCAATGCAGGGTAAATGAAAAAGGATTTGGTTCCTTACCATAATAATAATTGATAGCATTATATAAGAGCTTACTGTGTGCCAGGCCCTTTAAGAAAATAAACTCGTTTAATTATTTATAAAAAAATTTACAGGTACTATTACTATACCCATTTGGCAGAGGAGGAAACTGAGGAAGAGAGAAGCTAAGACACTATAGACAAACCTTTAGAAGAACATTAGCCAGTAAGTGCAAGCTGGATGACTGAGAAGAGTTGGGAACTGTGGCTAAAGGTACAGAGAGACACAAGCTGTTGTCATGAGGTCAACTAGAACTAATGAAAGAAATTACTAAGTGTTGTATTAATAAAAGAAGACTATGTAAAAATTAAATACTAATATAATTAAGTGATGTTACTCTGTACACTTGTCTTCTACCTCAACTTAATAGTTTGTAGCCCCAGTGGCAATATATTTTTGAACTGGAGACGATCTTAAAGGTCATCTAGTTCAGTGAAACACAACATTTTTTCTGATAGGAAATGAAAGACAACACTCACTTGCAGAGCACATCCTGATATGAAGAAACTGAAGGCTGGAGCGATTATCTCAAGACTTCATAGATAATTAGTAGTAGGATAAAGGCGCCAAATCAGCTGTTCTGACTCCCAGATCAAATTATTAAATATATGCGTGGTGAAGAATAGGGGAAAAAAGACAGTATCTCTGAGGCCATACTGCTAAAATGCATACTGGGGATATTGATTGACTATCTATTATGTCTCAAGCATTATAACACATAGAACAGATGTGACTCCAATTATCATGGATCCTATGGCTAGCAAAGGAAATGGGTCAGCAACAATACAGTAGGCTCTTATCCATGGTTTCACCTGAGGTTTCAATTACCTGCAGTCAACTGTGGTCTGAAAACATTAAATGGAAAATTCCAGAAATAAATAATTCATAGGTTTTAAATCCTATGCCATTTTGAGTAGCGTGATGAAATCTCCTGCCATCCTGCTCTTTCCTACCTGGAACATGAATTACCCCTTTGTCCAGCATATCCACACGGTATATACTGCCTCCCAGTTAGTTAACATTATCTGCTCCTGACATCCAGCCGATATTGTCAGGGCTCAGTGATTCAGGATCACCCAGAGCAGATGATCCTCCTTCTGATGTATCACCAGAAAGTCAAGAGTAGTCAAACGCTATGTGACAATGCCACTGTCATTCACCTCACTTCATCTCATTATGTAGCTACTTTATCATCTCACATCATCACATGAAGAAAGGTGAATTCAACAATAGATATTTTGAGAGAGAGAGAGACTGCATTTACATAACTTTTGTTACAATATATTTTTATTATTATTCTATTTTATTATTAATTATTGTTGTTACCGTGCCTAATTTATAAAATAAACTTTATCATAGATATGTATATTTAGGAAAAAAGCATAAGATGTATAAGTTTTTGTGTTATCTAGGGTTTCAAGCATCTACTGTGAGTCTTGGAATGTACTCCTTTTGAATAAGGGAAGACTGCTGTAAGGTTGTAGTAGAAGAGGATGCTTTCAGATCTTGGAGAACACGTACCAAATCTGGACTCAAAGACTTCGGGGAAAGTTTCAAAAATGTTTACTGAATAAATGGATAAAAGCTTGTCAGGAGAAAAATTAGAGGAAAGAAAGATCCAGCCAGACATAAAAAAGAGAGTATTGCATAGAGGAGCAACTTTTAAGAAAGTGTTGTTTGAGTTCATTACAGAGTCTAATGGGAAGTGGGAAAGGTGAAGATAAAAGGGTAGGCAGGGGCCAGTTTTTAAAGAGCCTTCAGTACAGTATTAAGCAGTTTGAAATTTATCTCAAGGACCTTGAAGAGTTTTTAACAAGAAATTGGTATTTAACAGATTTAAATTTTCGCAAAATTACCCAGTCTGTAGTGTGAGTAGATTCATGACAAAGAAACTAGTATAAGAGATATTTAGCAACAATCCAGGTGAGAGAGAAAGTGTCTTGCTGTTTTGGTAAACACATGCAGATGGAGGGGAATGGATGGATTTGAGAGGTTTGAGGGGCAGAATGGTAAGCATTGTGCTAATTAAGTATAGTATGAATGGTGACAGAGCAAGATGTAAAAATCAAAACAATGCTAAACTTTATAGTTTATCCCTTTATCCTGGTATATAATAGTGACATTTGCCAATTTTGGAAATAATGAAATGTGGATTTTTAAATGTAATTCTCAGAGGAGGAAACTAACAAGAAATAGATTTTAAACAAACAAAAAAATCTGAAAGTAGTGTG
Organism: Homo sapiens; assembly: GCF_000001405.40. Taxonomy (NCBI): domain Eukaryota; kingdom Metazoa; phylum Chordata; class Mammalia; order Primates; family Hominidae; genus Homo; species Homo sapiens. The sequence continues at coordinate 155,836,382 of NC_000002.12, read as the reverse complement.
ACAGAAGTCGAGAAAAGATAATTTTAAAGAGAGAGTGGTCAGCAGTGTCAAATGCAGTGGATAGAACAAGAAAATTTACAACTAAAAAGAGTTCACTGACTCTATCAACTGGACGCTTGATGAGAATGATTTTAATGATGGGGTATAACTGTTGAATTGGAGGAGGCTCAGTGTGTTGCCAAAAGAATATTACACTCAAACATGCTGCAGGAAGACAACCAAATGATAGCTCCAGGTGTTGCACTTCTGGATTCACCACTGTTGGAGCAGAGTCCATATTTACCATTGGCTGCCTATCGCCAATGACTGAACACAGTAGGGGTGTCTTAGCCCATTATCTGTTGCTATAACAGAATACCCGAGACTGCGTAATCTGTAAAGAAAGGAGTTTTATCTTGGCTCATGGTCCTGGAGACTGGATAGTTCAGGAAACATGGTGCTGGTGTCTGGCGAGGGTCTCCTAACTGCATCATAAAATCGTGGATGATATCACACAGAAAAAGCATGTGAGAGAGAGACAGGACAAGAAGGCTGACCTGTTTTATAACAACCAGCTCTCACAAGGACTAATCAATTCCTATGAGAACTAATTCATCTGGTGGAAACTAACCCATTCTCACAAGAAAGACATTAATCTGTCTTAACAACCTAACCACCTCTTAAATGTTCTACCTCCCAACGCTGCTATATTGTCAATTAAATTTCAGTATGAATTTTGGCAGAGACAAAGCACATCCAAACCATAACATTCTAGTATCCCCCGACAACTCGTGTCCTCGTTATATGCCAGATGTAATCATTCCATCCCAATAGTCCCCAAAGTCTTAATTTGGTCTGGCACCAACACAAAGGTCTAAGGTGTCATCTAAGACTCAAGGCAAACCCTTTCCAACTATGAGCCTGTAAAACCAAAAATCAAGTTATCTACTTCTAAAATACAATGGCAGAACAGGTATAGGTTAAACATTCTTATTCCAAAAGGGAGAAATAAACAGGAAGAAAGGAGTAACAGGCCCTAAACAATCATGAAACTCAGCAAGGCAGACATTAAATCTCACAGCTCCAAAATAATCTTTCAATCCGTGTGCCATTTTCTGGACACAATATCTTAAAACTGTGCCATTGTCTGAGACTCTTCCTAACCAATCCTTCTTCCTTCAATCTCTCCTTCACAGGGATCCTCAACACAGTGTGAAGGTTTTCCTCACCTATTCATGATCCCTCCCCTTCCTCTTTTGCAGGTATTTTCCCAGACATCTCTTAACGCACATTAAATCTTTTCTTGATATCTGCTCCTCTAAATTGCAAACAAATGTTGAACGCTATGAATATTTGTCTCCTCCAAACCCTGCATTGAAATTTAATCCCCAATTGGGAAAAGTTGAAAGGTGAGGTCTTTAAGAGGTGATGGGGTAATGAGGGTTCTGCCTTCAGGAATGAATTAATCAATTCAGGAATTAATGGGTTAATAGATGAATGGGCTATGATGGGAGTGTGACTGGTGGGTATACAAGAAAAGGAAGAGAAACCTGAGCTACTACACTCATTCTCCTCACCATGTGATATCCTGTGCTGCCTTGGGACTCTGCAGAGATTCCCTACCAACAATAAGGATATTATCAGATGTGGCCCCCTTGATCCTGGATTTCTCAGACTAAGACATTTAGGAATCAATAAGAGGTGAAAACTGGAGACATTACCATGCAAAGAACATTTGCCAGAAGTGTGGTTATCAGGAAGGAGAGACCATAAAATGAGTAGAGAAGTTTATCTGAGAAGTCACAAAGGATAGAATCTGGAGGCCAGCAGAAATGGTAGCCTTAGCAAAAGGAGAACACTTACATTTTCACAAAATGGGGAGGAGAGTAGGATAAAGATGCAGGTGATTTTATAGGTTTAGTGGTAGGATATTAAAGCAATTGTTACTTCTTGGCTTTTAAAAATTCTATGAATTAGGAGGTGAGGCCTCCCTTGAGAGGGAAGGGGAAGATTGAACATTGGAGGAAGAAAATAGACACTGTGGTCCCTACAATGTACAGCATTTGAGAGAGAGCAAACCAATAAACAGCAGGACTCCAGGGCAGCTTCAAGGACCAAGTTAAATTTGGTTGGTTGCTTTTATCTTTCCAAAATGAGCACAGTAATTTTGTTACAGGGTGATAGAAGGCTGAAAGTTTGAGTTTAATTTTAATTTCCCCGTTTTCAACATTGTTCTGACTACATCCATGTCACTATCATTCGCTGTTTGGGCAATTTAAATGAAAGCATTTCTCTGAGATTTCAAACTAGTGTAACTGTTCTTTCAAGACATCTGGCTTCTTTAAAAATCTTGAGAGTCCTTTTAATAGTAGTAGAGAGACTCTCTCACTTTAGTATAAATAGTGCTACCTGATTTCTAGTTCTTGACTAAACAAAATGCTAAAACAATAAAAATATATCTTTGATTTCTTCTCACCTTTCCATTGGATATGACTCCTGAGACATTTGTGTTCTCTAGGTGGACCTACTTCCCATATTATACCTGCCATTTATTCCCACCACTCATAAATAATGAAAACTCAAAGTGAGCCCATGAGGGCTAATATTTCACCACATTAGTAGCCTGAAGATACATTATTATGTTTGCAATTATGGTTTTCTGAGACATCACATTTGTAGTTTTGGATAAAGGAATGGAGAAGAAAAGTGAAAGTCTGATGTATCCTACAGCAAGAAAAAGTAATCCTTAGCAACAAACTGATTGTAATAAGATTCAGAGATAACTATGAGTTTTATTTTTTCTGAAATAAATACAAAGACAAAATGATTACCTATGATATTAACATTGGATGTTGCTTTATTACACACAGAAAAATGTTCATATCAGTTTCTTAATTTTATTTTTTAAACTGCATTGGCAAAATTGTTTGTAGATTGAGGTGCTATAAAGAATTTTAGAGTACAAATGCATTTTTAACTGTTAGTTATACATAGCATTTGCTGAAAATTCCATCACCTGGAAGCACAATTGAATATGAAAACCGACTTTGACCTGTTCCCACAAAGAAGAAGAGAGTGAAAGCAATGTTCCAAAATAAAATAACATAGAAAATGATGGTAATTAAGAGAAAAAAAATTCTAATAGTATTAACTACATTCTAAGAATCACTAGTATTAATGAAGCTTTTATAGCTATAAATATTCTTTGTAGTAATAAAGCTTTTTTAACTACAAATATTCTTTATATATTTATATTCTACTCTCCAATCCTTTCTGTGAAAATCATGTATTCAGTTGCTACTACATTCATAAAGGCCTCCTACGAAATGGAGGAAACTTAAGATAATACAAATTCACGCTTTATTCTTTGAGGAAATTTCTGAATACACTGATGATTTATAATCATTGTATTTTATATAAGGTCCTTATAAAAATACTACAGAGAATATATTACTTTCATGAACAACAATGTATTTATTTTTATCTTGCCTTTCTTTGAAAGTGAAGGAGACAGCTTTAGTATTTTCAATTTTTTTTTAAAGAGAGACACATATTTTTCATTTTAGCAAATTATTTTCTAGTCCCAGCAGAAACACAGGAAACTGCAATTAGGCAGAATTTCCCAGAATTATTGTGTGTGTGTGTGTGTGTGTGTGTGTACATGTATATATATATATATGTATTTTTACAATTTTATATACATATTGTATATAATTACATATCCAAAGATGTATACAATTATATATATGTATATACAATTTTACATACATATATACACACATATATATACATATATGTAAATATACATAAACATTAAATGTCAAGACAACTGATATGAGAAATATTTTAAAAAGTAATCTTCAAGGTAAAAAGCGAGTTTATCCTAATGATATAAACCATAAATACCTACAATACTTTGTAAGTTACTGCTCAGAGATTTTCATGAGTATGAGGCACCATGAGACCATCAACATTTTCTGAGTAATTGAAAAAATCAAAGAAATACTTAATATTTAATGTAGGTTCTATAGAATGCATATTATACTTATTTCTTAATAATCCATGCATTGGGTATATGTTAGTTTTTAATTAACTATAACATCATTTCAAATTATTTTGCTTAAATGGCCATTTATAAACAGCATTTTAAATGGATTTTTCCATCTTAAAAAAGAGAAAAATATATTTAATATCATGCCAGAAGTGTAAACTGTATAATATAGACAATATTAAAGCCTTACTGTTTTGTAAGTATCAGACATTTTAATCATCATCTTCATCATCATCATCATCATATCTTTTAGGAATTGAGTTTAAATTTTCAAAAACAGTTATTCTATAACTACCAATTTTTAACTTTTATGTTTAAAGCTTGGAGATTAATGGTGGTTTTGAATAGCAACAGAAAACTTAGAAGCTCTTAAGCTAGCTTTTATATTCATGCCTTACACTTATGTAACTTTTACCTTTTATAGGCTTCATTTTGATTGCTGTGATTCTTGACATATCTGATGTGTTTTGTTATGAGTAGTTTTAACATGTTTATAACTTTTAATACATGAATGAATTCAGTTTGTATTCAAATTTAACACAATTATGAATAAATAATGTAGGCACTTTCTTAAAGCACTGTATACTTACAGTGGAGGATTCACCATTTCATGCCTACATGCTAAGGAAATTTTTATAGTTATTCTCTTTATAATGACTATAATTATGACAAAAAACAAAAAAGGGTTGAACCTTTGTGAATACCATTGAATAGCAATGTTTTCCCTAGTGATTTCTAGATAAATCCATTTCTCCCTTGGACCTTAACACTCTGTGATTTTTATTTTTTTTCAAAAAAATCACACTTATTGGGACTTTGGTATTTTGAAACTTGGTCAAACTTCATGAGAAAATAACCTAAGAAATCATTCTCAAAATTTAAATGCACACTATTTTTAAATTAGACTTGAGAGTGACAGGCAAGTCACTTACAGGGAAAACCTCAGAAGGGGAGGAAAAGCCTGGGGCCCCAGCAGCTGAATGCCCGAGGCAATCTATAACTACAGAACTGGTCTGTGAACTTATGCTGGTAGTGCATCTCACTGGACAGATTTGCTTGCTGGAGATTTTTTTTTCTTTTCCTGGTTTTAAATCAAGATAGAGAAATCATTTTGCTATGACATTATTTAAAAAAAGAAGTCAGGCGAAACTTAAGTAGTGAGGTGTATATTCTCTTCTCAGTATGTGCCTGAAACTCTCATCGACACTGACAGTAGTTATGCAGATGCATGCAGAAGAAAATAGACCCCTTTTAACATTAAACATCAGATTTGGGTTTCCCCAGAGAACACCGGTTACTGAAGTGGCTGTGAATGATGCATTCTCACAGAATGTTTCAGCCATAAATCAATCCTGAATCATACTTTTCCTAGAGTTCTTTTCTACTCATTTGAAATCCTAGTGTATTATGCATGCACTGACTCTATTTCAGACTAAGCCTAAATACATTTACCAAAATAAGATTCAAATAATTAAATGTGACTTTTATAATTGTTTTCCTCTGAAGATCCAGAGCCTAATCTGGCTCTGGTTAATCATTGTAATTTGACTTTTAATACAGTGTCAGTTTATTTAGTTGGAATTAGTTTTCTATTTCTCTCCTTTTTGTAAGCGCTGCCTGTTTACTTAACAATATTTGGCTTTGCCTAATGATATGTACAGAAGACAGTGCTAAGTGGAACATCAGCTGTTTACATCAGCTCTAACAATTAATGCATGTTAATTTTTAATTACACTGATTGTACTAGAGGCAGAATGTATGTTTCTTCACAGAACAGATGTACTAGTCAGCTTGGCTGGTGAACATGCATATCGATCAGATGTTGATGCTGCCAGCAATTCAGCAAAGTCTGCTAAGAGTGTCGGCTTCTAATGTACTTACAAGTTTACGGCTTAGAGTCCTGGTAGAGGCAATACAACTCGATGCTATATCCTCTAATGTTTACAGATAATCACAGTATGTCTGTTTTGTGGTTAGCATTCTACAGTGTATAATTAGAAGATTGACTAGGTATGAGGGGATCCAAAGGTGTCATTGCCTGTGGACTGCTTTCTCCATTATCATTTGCTGTGGTCTCTTCAAAGATTTTTTTTTTAAAACTCATGTTTCTTTTCTTGTGTTAATACTAGATCTCTAACACTGATGACCAGTCTTCCTTCAAGGAGAATGTAAAAAGCAATATAATTACTTGCAAAGAAATCTGTCTCTATTGAACATCATCACCAAAGCTAGATGGGAAATACATAGAAAATGCCAGCAGCTAAATAGCAGACAGTCGACAGGCTCTCAGTCAATGGCCAATCAATCAAGAGGCATTTCTTGAATGTTTCAGTATTTTGAGCATGTCACTAAGTACTATGGGTTACCTTGTCATGAAGGGTAAAAAGAAATCTAAAAGACCTTTGCCCTTAGGGAACTCATAATCTTACTCATAACTCACATGAAAAATAAGACTCATATGCACAAAACAAATAAATTGTTTTGTAAACTGCAGTATATATGCTCTAGTTGATAACATGTAGTTGGTAATGTATATACTCAGAATGTAGGAAAAGCTTTATGATAGAGTTGAACTAGAGTAGAACTGGAGTTGTTTACCCAAAATTATGGTTTGAATATTGATATGATTTGGCTCTATGTTTCTACCCAAATCTCATCTCAAATTGTAATCCCCACGTCTTGAGAGAGGGACCTGTAATCCCCATGTGTAGAGGGAGGGAGGTGATTGGATCATGAGGGTGGTTTTTCCCATGCTGTTCTCATAATAGTAATGAGTTTTTATGACGTCTGATGGTTTTATAAGTGTTTGACAGTTCCTCCTTCACATGCTCTCTCTCGCCTGCTACCATGTAAGATGTACCTGCTTCCCCTTCTGCCATAATTTTAAGTTTCCTGAGGCCTCCCTGGCCATGGGGAACTGTGATTCAGTTAAACCTCTTTTCTTTATAAATTACCCAGTCTTGGGAAGTTCTTTATAGCAGTGTAAAAACGGACCGATAGAATAAATTGGTACTGCAGAGAGTGAGGTACTGTTAAAAGGATACTTGAAAATGTGGAGGTGACTTTGGAACTGGGTTATGGGCAGAGGTTGGAACAGTTTGGAGGGCTCAGAAGAAGACAGGAAGATGTAGGAAAGTCTGGAGCTTCCTAGAGACTTGTTGAATGGCTTTGACCAGAATGCTGATAGTGACATGCACAATGAAGTCCAGGCTGAGGTGGCATCAAATGAAGATGAGAAATTTATTGGGAACTGGAGCAAGGGTGACTCTTGCTATGCTTTAGCAAAGAGACTGGTGGTATTTTGCTCCTGACCTAGACATCTGTGAACTTTGAACTTGAGAGAGATGATTTAGGATATCAGGCGGAAGAAGTTTCTGTTTTTGTTGGGAAGGCATAATTGGTTTTGAAATGTGAAAAGACATGAGATTTGGGAGGAGCCAGGGGTGGAATGATGTGGTTTGGTTCTGTGTGCCTACCCAAATTTCATCTCAAATTGTAATCCCCACGTGTTGAGGGAGGGAGGTGATTGTATCATGGGAGCAGTTTCCTCCATTCTGTTCTCATGATAGTAATGAGTACTTATGAGATCTGATGGTTTTATAAGTGTTTGGTGGTTCCTACTTCACATGCTTTCCTTCTCGTGCTGCCATGTAAGGTGTGCCTGTTTCCACTTTTGCCATGATTTTAAGTTTCCTAAGGCCTCCGCAGCCATGAGGAACTGTGAGTCAATTAAACCTCTATTATTTATAAATTACCTAGTCTCAGGATGTTGTTTATATCAGTATGAAAATGAACTAATACACATATAAATGTATTAAGCAGTATTTTTTAAACTACTTTGCCAAACTCTTCTACATCATTCTACAGACAAGAATATCTAGCTAAAACATCTTTTGTTTTTTTTCTTTTAGTGTATTCCCACCTATTGTCCTCTAAAACATTTATAAAGAAATCTCTTGGGTCTCTTTTTACTAGTGGATAGAAATGACTCTCTGATTTAATCATTTTGACACACTGATTAGACTTTAAAAATTCTGATTCTAAACTTATATTAAAATATAAATGACCAGAAATAGCCATAGCAACCTTAAATAAAAACAAAGATGAAGGATATACATTACCAGATTTCATAGTGTATTGTAAAGCTTTAGTAGTTAAGACAGTGTGGTTTGATGTAGTTATAGTTTAAAACACCAAAGCAACTAAGAATTAAGAGATAGGCCTGCTTATGCCATGACAATTTTGTGAGCATAAGATTGTTTAATAAATAATGCTGGACAAATTCTATATCCATATGAATAAAAATGGACTTTAAAATAGATTGTATACTAGACATAGAGTAATTTAGGATAGTTTATAGTTGCAAATGTGAAATGTAAAACTATTATGTTTCCAGAAAAAAATATAAGACAATATATTTATGACCTTGGTGGAGACAAATATTTCTTTAAAAGGGCACAAAAAATTAGCTCTAAAAGAAAAGGTTGCTACATTGGAATTCATTTTAAAATAAATAATTTTGTTCATCAGAAGATATAATAAAAAGAGTGAAGAGGTAGGCCACAGATTAGGAGAAGATATGCAATGCATATATCTAACATAATATATAAAGAACTCCTAAAAATAAAATAGAAAAAGACAGCCAAACCAGTTTTTTTAAAAAATGGGCAAAGAACTCAAAATGGCACCCAAAAAACACTATTCATTTGGCCAACATATGGAAAGATACTTAACATCATTAGTTATAACGGAGATGGAAAATATAATCAGAATGAGATATGCTACCAGAAGGGCTAAAATTAAAAGAACCTGATAATACCAAAGGTTGTCTAAGTATGGAGCAACTAAAACTCTTATTTATTGCTGATGCTGGTGTATATTGGAACCATGTTCTTGAGAAATTGGCAAATATTACTAAAGTTAAACATACATATATTTATGACTCGTAAGTTTCATTCAGAGGAGTATGCTGAGAATAAATGATTATGTTGATTAGAAAGTATATGATGATTGTTATAAGAGCTTTACTTATAATACCCCCAAACTGAAAATGATCCAAATGACACTGAAGAGAACAATGACTTGTTATGGCGTATTCATACCATGAAGTATTATATTGGAATGAAAGAGAAAAAATTATTGCTATACATAACAGCATAATAGTATCTCAGATGCATAATGCTCAGTAAAAGAAGCAGATATCACAAAAGTACCTCTATGTGATTCTCTTTATATGTACTTCAACAGGGAGGAAAATGGGAGCTCCTCTTCTGATATCACTGTGAGGAGCTCCATGGGTCCACTCCCTAGTGAAACTAGTGAGTATTATAAATAAAAACAACATTGAAGTTTTCAGAAAATTGTATATAGCAAATGAAAAAAAAACCACTTATTCAAAGAAATCTATTATACTTAGTAAAAACTGCAAAAGCTTGGATACTTAAACCAAGACCCATGCCTTTCATCACCCCTTTTCCAGATCAGCTGGACAGAAACTCTACTCCAAAATGGAACAGCCAAGAACACAGGCTTCTCTCTTTTTCCAGCATCAAGTTGGAGGGCTCTCTTCCCTTATGGTTCAGAACATCAACATTTTTCGTCTTGATCCCAGCTACCTGTTTCTGAATCTAAATTCTGGATGAGTATGGCTAAGGCACGGAGGACCCCTTTTATTGCCTAGTCCTCACTTATGGGAAAAATGATGTAGTATGGGAGTGGTGTCTGGGCATACTGGAGCCCCCAGTTGCCCTTGCCCTGGTTCATGGGATGAGGATTTCATAAGAACAAAGGAAGCATGCCAAAGATACCTAAAGATGCTGCCCTCTTCTTATCCACTGAGTGTTCAGCTCTTCAACTGGGGTGTCATTTAGAAAGAAGCTCGCCATTTTCCCTGTCCCAACGCCAAACACTGGGTTAATATTTTGTCTGAGAAAACAAGCAAGCCGTAGAACAGAGAACTTCAAAGGCCACTTTAAAGAAAGGAACTTCATTTGTAGCAAAATGCAAAAAAGTCAGGCACTGGAGCACTCTCAGGAGGACATCTAGGTAAAAAGCAGTTGACAAGTGATGAACACATTCATGTGAAATATGAGCTATTCTTAGAGAAGCTAGCTTGTTGGAAAGAAATGGAGAAATAGACAGCTTGCAAGAGCCCTTCTGGTGTCAGAACAAATCTCAAACACTGACCTTTGGAACTACACCTTCAAGTAGCCTAAATTTGATTGGATTAGTGTGTGGAACAATTTATGCCCTGGGATATTACTGTAAACAGTAGAGCAATGAGCCAGCAATTGCTGGAGCTTAACATCTGGTGTGGTAAGGAGAGATAAAGAGAGTCCTGTCGAACCTAGAATAACTCTGGGCTTACCAAAGGGTGTGTCCTCTGAAAAGCAACATCACGCAGACTTCACTAAAACAACCCAGCCAGTTACTAAACAAGTAAAGAAGAAAATATCAATAACCAGCTCTAGAATGGAGAGGAAAATTGCTACAATACATTATCTAAATTGTTCAGTTTCCAGAAAAAAAAAATGAGACATTCAAAGAAACATGAAAGGATGAGCCAAATACTAGAAAAAAAGCAAGCAACAAAAACTGCTGGTGAGAAACAACAGAAATTGTGTATAATAGATAAATACTTCAAAGTAGCCCTTATAAATATGTTCAAAGAGCTAAAGAAAACCATTATTAAAGAAGTAAACTATGATGAAAGTGTTACATTAGATAGGGAAGATCAACAAAAACATGGAAATTATTTGAAAAATAGAAAAATCTGAAACTGAAAAGTGTAATAACTAAAATGAAGCATTTACCAGAGGGGCTCATTAGTAGATTTTAACAGGCAGAGGAAAGAATTAGAAAATTTGAAGACATTAATGAGGAAAAATAAACAAAGATTCAGAGGAAATGTATACACAGGTTGAGTATCCCTTATCCAAAATGCTTGGGAACAGAAGTGTTTCAGATTTCAGATTTTTTTAAATTGTAGAATATTTGCATATACATAATGAGATATCTTGGAGAGGAGACCCAAGTGTAAACACAAAATTTATTTATGTTTCATATATACCTTATACACATAGCCTGAAAGTAATTTTGTATAATATTTTTAATAATTTTGTGTATGAAACAAAGTTTCTGCATATTGAACCATCAGAAAGCAAAAGTGTCACTATCTCAGTCACTCACGTGGAAAATCTGTTTTTGTTGGCATCACCATCGTTCCTGAATCTGAATTTCTCTGCTATCAGTAAGTAATTATTTTCTTATACTTATTCACACATATGTACTTAACAGTAAAAAGTATGACATATCAGTAATAGTGAAAAAATTATGTGTTTATGGTAACTAAGAAGCACAGTAGCAGCACCAGAATACCTGTGTAGGCTGTTAAACAACAGCAACAGGAAACAACAGCAGGCTTTCAGTCTCCACCTGCAATTGTGTGTCTTGATTAAAAGGTTACTGTACAGATGCTGAATGAACTGTGTGTTGTGGGCCTGTGTTTTGACTGTGACCCATCACCGAAGTTAGGTGTGAAATTTTCCACTTGTGGCATCATGTCAATGCTCAAAAGTTTTGGATTTTGGAGCATTAAAGATTTTGAATTTTTTGAATTGAGGATGCCTAGTCTGCACATGTATACACACACATACCTATTTAATACATATATAATGTATATACACACACATACATTCATACACTATATGTGTATATAGTATTGTTGGACTTAATAACACATAGAATTGTAATATATTGTCTAATAACAGCACAGAACATGTGGGTTGGATGCAAAGCTGTATTGGGCTAAGGAAATGACTACAAATAAAAACTTGAAACCATGGGAATAAACAAACAGAATCACAAATGATAGATGAGAAGGTTAATATAACAAAGCTATAAATAAATATTTGCTCACCCTTCGTCCCTTAGTTTCTTTAAAGTACATAATACTATATAAAATTATGATTTTAATAAGCGTCATTTGGTTTGAAGAAATAAGTGTAGTGTGTTTGAGAGTAATATCACAAAAGGAGGGAAAGAAAATAGTTATATGGGAGTAATGTTTTCCTATCTCAGTGAAATTAAGTTTGTATAAATATAAAGACATTTCTTATAAGTTAATATCTATATGATAAGCCTGAAAGCAGCCACTATGGAAATAACTTAAACAACAGAGTAAACCATTCATAAAAATATATTAAAATACTTCCAGAGAAAATATTTACCTGATGCAAAAAAAGCAGTAAAAGAGGAAAAGAGGAGGAAAAAGACACAGGAGATATAAAAACAAAAAGCAAAATGGTATGTGAAAATCCAATTATGTCAATAGTAACAGTAAATCTTCATGAATAAAATATTCCAATTCATAAGGAGTAATTTTTAGACAGGATTAAGAAAAGATCTAAGACACTTGAGATTTAAATATATGAATCAATTTAAAAAATAAAAAATGGAAAAAAGATTTACGCAAAGAAAAAATTAGGAAGTGACTATAATAACAATAAACAAAATAGACTTTGAAACAAATAATGTTACTAGACATAAAGGAAGATATTTATAATGATAAAATAATCAATGCATCAGGAAGATATCACAATTATACGTATATATGCACTTAATAACAGGGCACCAAAATGCATAAAGCAAAAACTGACAGAAATGAAAGGTGAAATAGATAATTAAACACTAATAGAGAACTCAGATGCCCACTTCTCATAACAGATCAAATACATCAACAAAAAAGAAGACTCGAAAAACATTATAAACAAATGAAATCTAATAGATATATGCAGAACAGTCCATTCAATATCAGAAGAATATACATTCTTTTCAAGTACACAGGGAATATTCTTTAAGGTAGTTAATATGTTATGTCATTTTAAAAAAGCTCAGTAAGTTTCAAAGAATAGAAATAATATAAAGTATGTTCACTGACTACAATAAAATAATGTCAAAAAAACACAAATTAGAGAAACTTACATATACGTGGAAATTAAACAACAGACTGGGCTTTTAGTTTAACCATCAACAGAAGAGTGTACATTGTACTCATTAAATAATTTCCATCCCCCACCCCCTCCCACCATTTCACATTTTAAGTCTCCAATGTCTATTATTCAACTCTCTATGACCATGTGTACACATTATTTAGCACCCACCTATGCATGAGAACAAGTCAGTATTTAACTTTTGGTTTCTGATTTATTTCCTGTAATATAATGGCCGATGATTGCATACATTTTGCTGCAAAAGACATGATTTTATTCTTTTTTTATGACTGAATAGTGCTCCATGGTGTATGTGTACATGAGTGTGTGTTTGTGTGTGTTTGTGTGTACATATACAGAGCACATTTTCTTTATCCAATGATCTGTTGATGGGCACTTAGGTCAATTTTATATCTTTGCTATTCTGAATAGGGCTGTGATAAACATAAAAGTGCATGTGTCTTTTTTTTTGTTTTTCATATAAAGATTTCTTTTCCCTTGGGTAGATACCAGTAGTGGGATTGCTGGGTCGAATGGTGGCTCTATTTTCAGTTCTTTGGCAATCTCCATACTGTTTTCCATAGAGATTGAACTAATTTACATTCCCACTAACAGCGTATAAGTATTCCCTTTTCTCCACACTCTCACCAACATCTGTTGTTTTTTGACTTTTTGAGAATAGCCATTCTGACTGGTATAAGATGATATCTCATTGTGGTTTTAATTTGCATTTCTCTATCATTGATGTTGTTTAAAGTTTTTTCATGTTTGTTGGCAATGTGTATGTCTTCTTTTAAGAAGTGTCTTCATGTTTTTTTACTCATTTTTAAATGAAGTTATTTGTTTTGTTTTTTCTTCTTGAGTTGTTTGACTTCCTTGGAGAATCTGGGTATTTGTTCTTTGTCAGATGCATAGTTTGGAAATATCTTCTCCCATTCTGTAGATTACCTATTTACTCTGCTGATTATTTCTTTTGCTGTGCAGAAGCATTTTCACTTGAGGAAGTCCCATTTGTCTACTTTTGTTGTTGTTGTTGCTTGTGCTTTTGAAGTTTTGGTCATAAATTCTTGGCCTAGGTCAATGTCCAGAAGTTTCTCCTAGGTTTTATTTTAGGAATTTCATAGTTTCAGGTTTAATTTTAAATGTCTAATCACCTTGAGTTAATTTTTGTATATGGTGAGAAATAGGGGTCCAGTTTCATTTTTCTGCATATGACAATCCAATTTTCCTAGCACAATTTGTTGAATAGGGTATTGTTTCCCCAGTGTACGTTTTTAGTTGACTTCGTCAAAGAGCAGTTGGTCATAGGTATATGGCTTTATTTCTGGGTTCCCTATTTTGGTCCATTGATCTATGTGTCTATTTTTATACCAGTACCGTGCTATTTTGGTTACTATGAACTTATCGTATAATTTAAAGTCAGCTAATGTGTTGTCTCCAGTTTTATTCTTTTCATTTAGACTTGGGTTGGCTATTCAGGGTCTTGTAGGTTCCAGGTGAGTTTTCTGACTTTGGTATTTTGATAGCAATTTCACTGAATCTGTATCTAGCTTTAGGGAGTATGGTCATTTTAACAATATTGATTCTGCCAACCCCTGAGCACAGGATGTTTTTTCATTTATTCATCAGTGTTTTGTAGTTTTCCTTGTAGAGACCTTTTATCTCCTTGGTTAAATGAATTTCTAGGTATTTTATTTATTGTTTTTGAAGCTATAATACATGGAATTAATTTGATTTTCAGCTTAGTCATTATTGGTGTATAGAAATGTTCCTAATATTTGTGCATTGATTTTGTATCCTGAAACTTTACTGAAGTCACTTATGACTTTATCCATTTCCTCTAGGTTTTCTAGTTTGTGAGTGTAGAGCTAGCTGTTCCTAAAAGTCTCTCATGATCTTTATAGTTCTATGGCATCACTTGTAATGTCTCCATTTTCATCTCTGATTTTGCTAATTTGAAGCTTCTCTCATCCTTTCTTGGTTAATCTAGCTATCAGTCTATTTATTTTGTTCATCCTTTCAAAACATTAACTTTTAATTATATTAATCCTTTTTATTTTTATATTTTGGTCTCAATTTCATTTAGCTCTTCTTTAATGTCTTTTATAATTTTTTCTTCTGCTAGCTTTGAGTTTGGTTTGTTCTTGTTTTCCTAGTTGCTTGAGGTATAATGTTAGGTTGTAAATTTGTGATCTTTCTATTTTCTTGATGTAGGCATTTAATGCTATTAACTTCCATTTCCATACTGCTTTTGTAGTATCCCAAATGTTTTGCTTTATTGTGCATCTATTTTTATTCATTTAAAAAATTTTTTAATTTCCACATTAATTTGTTGACACAAAGATAATTGAAGATCATGTTCTTTCATTTCCATGTATTTGTATAGTTTCCTGAGTTCTTCTTAAAATGAATTTCTGCTTTCATTCTACTGTGGTCTGAGAAGATATTTGATATAATTTTGATTTATTTAAACTTATTAATATTTGTTTTGTGGACTTACAGTTGGTCTACCTTAAAACTTCCATGTAATGATGTGAAAAGTGTATATTCTGCAGTTGTTGGGTAGAATATTCTGTAAATGTCTATCAGGTCAATTTTGTCTACAGTCTAATTTAAGTCCAGTGTTGCTTTGTTCATTTACTCCTTTAATTATGTTTCTAGTGCTGTCAGTGGGGTGTTAAAATTCCACTATTATTGTATTGCTATCTCTTTTCTTAGGTCTAGTAGTGTATTAGTTTTCACACTGCTATATATATACTACCTGAGACTGGGTAATTTATTAAAAAAAGAGGTTTAATTGATTCACAGTTCCATATGGCTGGGGAGGCCTCAGGAAACTAACAATTATGGTAGAAGGTGAAGAGGAAGCAAGGCATGCCTTACATGGTTGCAGGAGAGAGACGGTGAGGAAGTGCCACACTTTAAAGTCATCAGGTCTTGTTAGAATTCACCTACTATCACAAGAACAGCATGGGTGAAACTGCCCCCATGATCCAATCACCTCCTACCAGGTTTCTCCCTTGACATGTGGGGATTACAATTCAAGATGAGATATGAGTGGGGACACAAAGCCAAACCATATTATTCTGCCCCTGGCCTCTCCCAAATACCATGGTTTTTTTCACATTTTAAAACCAATCATTCCTTCTGAACAGTCCCCCAAAGTCTTAGCTCATTCCAGCATTAACCCAAAAGTCCAAGTCCAAAGTCTCATCTGAGACAAGGCAAGTTTCTTCTACCTATAGGATGGTAAAATCAAAAACAAGTTAGTTACTTCCATGATACAACTGGGGGTACTGGCATTGGGTAAATGTTCCCATTTTAAGTGGGATAATTCAGCCAAAACAAAGGGGCCACAGGGCCTCTGCAAGTCAAAAACTTGGCCAGACAGTCATTAAATCTTAAAGCTCCAAGCAGATCACCTGAGGTCAGGAGTTCAAGACCAGCCTGGCCAATGCACTGAAACCCTGTCTCTACTAAAAATACAAAAATTAGCCAGCCATGGTGATGGGCACCTGTAATCCCAGCTCCTTGGGAGGCTGAGGCAGGAGAATTGCATGAACCTGGGAGGTGGAAGTTGCAGTGAGCCAAGATCATGCCACTGCACTCCAGCCTGGGTGACAGAGTGAGACTCTGTCTCAAAACAAAAAGAAAAACAAAAAAAAAACCTTAAAGCTCCATAATCTTTGATTTCATGTCTCACATCTAGGTCATGCTGCATGCTGATGCAAGGGGTTACTCCCATGGCCTTGGGAAGCTCCATTTCTGTGGCTCTGCAGGGTACAGTCCCCATGGTTTCTTTCACGGACTATCATTGAGTGCCTGCAGCTTTTCCAGGTGCATGGTGCAAGCTGTTGGTGGACCTACCTTTCTGAGGTCTAGAGGACAGTGGCCTGTTTCTCACAGCTCCATTAGGCATTGCCCCACTGGAGGTTCTGTGTGGGGGGCTCCAACCCCACAATTCCCCTTTGCACTACCCAAGAAGAGGTTTGCCATGAAGGCTCCACCTCTGCAGCAAACTTCTGCCCAGACATCCAGGAATTTCCATACATCCACTGAAATCTAGGTGAAGGTTCTCAAACTTCAACTCTTGTCTTCTGTGCACCTGCAGGCCCAAAACCACATGTAAGCCACAAAGGCTTGGAGCTTGCACTCTATGAAGCAATGGCCTGAGCTGTACATTGGCCTCTTTTACCCATGCTGGAACTTTTGGCTGGGATGCAGAGCACCAAGTCTCAAAGCTGCACAGAGCAGTGGGGCCCTGAGCCTGCCCCACAAAACCATTTTTCCCTCCAACACCATGTGTAAACCACCAAGACTTGGTGCTTGCACTCTCTGAAGCAACGGCCTGAACTGTGTGTTGGCCTCTTATAGCCATGGCTGGAGCTTTCAGCTGGGACACAGAGCACCAAATCCCAAGGCTGCACAGAGCAGTGGGGCTCTGAGCCTGACCCACAAAAACTATTTTTTCCTCCTAGGCCTCTGGGCCTGTGATGAAAGGGGCTGCCTTGAAGATCTCTGAAATGCCCTGGAGACATTTTCCCCATTGTCAGTGATGATTAACATTGGCTCCTCATTATTTATGCAAATTTCTGCAGCCTGCTTGAATTTCCTCTGAGAAAATGGGTTTTTCTTTTCTACCATGGTCAGTCTGCAAAGTTTCCAAACTTTTACACTCTACTTCCCTTTTAAACATAAGTTCCAATTTCATATCATCTCTTTGTAAAAGCAAGGTCACCTCTTGAATGCTTTGCTGCTTAGATATTTCTTCCACCAGATACCCTAAATCATCTCTCTCAAGTTTAAAGTTCCCCAGATCTCTAGGACAGGGAGAAAATGCCACCAGTCTCTTAGCTAAAGCATAGCAAGACTCACCTTTGCTTCAGTCCACAATAGTACCAGATCCCCATCTGATGAGGACTTCATTGTCTATATCACTGTCAGCATTTTGGTCAAAATAATTCAACAAGTTTCTAGGAAGTTCCAAACCTTCCCACATCTTTCTGTCTTCTTCTGAGCCCCTCAAACTGTTCCAACCTCTGCCCATTACCCAGTTCCAAAGTCAATTCTACATTTTCAGATTTTCTTTATAGCAGCAGCCTACTCTGCTGGTACCAATTCTCTGTGTTATCTGTTTTCACAATGCTATAAAATAACACCTGAGACTGTATAATTTATAAAGAAATAAATTTAATTGACTCACAGTTCTGCATGGTTGGGGAGGCCTCAGGAAACTTATGATCATGGTGGAAGGTGAAGAGAAAGCAGGGCACATCTTACAAGGTATCAGGAGAGAGAGAGAAGGTGAAAGTGCTACACTTTAAAGCCATCAGCTCTCATGAGAACTCACTATCACAAGAACAGCATGAGGGAGACCACCCCCATGATCCAGTCACCTCTGAGCAAGTCCCTTACTTGACATGTGGGGATTACAACTCTGGATGAGATTTGGGTGTGGATATAGAGCCAAACCATATTAAGTAGTATTTGCATTATCATTCTGGGTGTTCCAGTGTTGGGTGCTTATATATTTAGGATTATTATATCTTCCCATTCAATTGATCTTTTTATCATTATATAATGACTCTGTCTTTGTTAACTGTTGTAGATTTAGTCTGTTTCATTTGACATAAATGTAGTTAATCCTGTTTGCTTTTGGTCTCCAATTGTTTGAAATATCTTTTTCCATACTTTACTTTGAATCTATGTGTCTTTAATAATTAGATTGGTTTCTTATAAGCAGCATATAGTTGGATCTTATTTTTTTAATTCATTCCACTAATCTATACCATTTAAGTGGAGTATTTAATTCATTTATGTTGAAAGTTAATATTGATATGTTAAGTTTTGTTTTGTCATAATGTCGGTTGTCTAGTTGCTTTATAGTCTCAATTACTGTTTTATAAGGCCTGTGAGTTTTATAATTTCATGTGTTTCTATGACGGAGATTATCAAGCTTTCATTTCAAGGTTTAGATTGCCTTGAGCCTTTCTTGCAGAACTGGCCTAGTGATGGTGAATTCTCTTAGTGTTTGCTTGGCCAGAAAGACTTTATTTCTCCTTTATTTATAAAGCTTAATTTAGCAAGTTACAAAATTCATGATTGATAATATTTTTTATTTAAGAATCTGAAAATTGGACTTCAATCTCTTCTGGCTTGTGAGTTTCTGCTAAGATATCCACTGTTAGTCTTATGGAATTTCCTTTATATGTTATGAGATGCCTTTTTTTTCTCTTGTTGACATTTGAGTCTTATTTCTTCATATTGACTGTGTGTAATTTGATGACTATATGTCATTGTGAAGTCTGTCTTGCAGTGTATCTTGTTAAAGTTCTTTGAGTCTTTATATCTGGATGTCTAAGTCTCTAGCGAGAGTAAAGAAACTTTCACTTATTTCCTCAAATAAGTTTCCCAAACTTTTTTCTCTTTCTTCTCCCTTAGGGATACCTACAACTTGCAGGCTTGGTTGTTTTCATAACCCTGTACTGAGTACAGGCTTTATTCATTAAAAAAAATGTTTTTCTTTATTTTTATCCCACTGGGTTAATTGGAATGACCTGTTTTCAAGCTCTGGGAAACTTTCTTTCACTTGGTCTCGTTTATTGTTAAAGATTTCAGCAATAGTTTTAAATTCCTTCAACAAATTTTTAAATTCCAGATGTTTGGCTTGTTTTTTGTTTTTAACATCTATATATTTAGCAAATTTATCATTCATACCTTGAATTATTTTTCTCATTTTTGTGTGTGTTGATTTTCAACATTCTCTTAGATTTCATTAAGCTTCTTTAAAATAAATATTTAAAATTATTTATCTGATATTTCAAAGATGTCATTTTGCTTAGGTTCAATTGCTGGACAGTTAGTATGATCCTTTTGGTGTGTTGTAATATTCTGTTTTCTGTACATCCAAAATTGTTTCTATGGTTTCTTCTTAACTGGATAAATTATCTCTTCTTATTTTGTAATGTACTTATTGTTTCATTTGGGAAGAAATTTTTTCTTTTCCAATTGATGATGTGAGTATAATGTATGTTGTGTAAGGTCATTTAGGTTTGGTTCTGGGTGCTTTCAGTGGCAAAGAATGTGTAAGTTCCTTGGTTGTAGATAACTTTTGTGTGGTGGCTTTTTAAAATGCTGGCTATAATAGTGATGGACTGGGTGTGTGAGCTAACTCACTGCCTCCTGTGGGGCTGGGATGCTAGAGGTCTCAGGAAGCTTATTTTGTTTCCCAGTGCTGTGCACTTGTGTCAGCAGATTTTGTAGTGGGTTGTGCAATTCAACCTTCAGGCCAGTGGGTGGTGCTTAAGGGTAAGAGCTGGTTATAGCAAAGGCAGATGGGAATATGCTTGATCTTTGTTTACTTAGTGAAGCTCTCACTTGTCTGGGGACATGAACTGGTTTGTGGAATGCACAGTGGCTTGAACTCCCTTTTCAGTCCTTGAGTTGGGGACAAACCTGGGCTGAGTTGAACCACCAAGGCTGCCCTTGGAAATCCCAACATCAGGCACAAGCACCAGCCCTGATTAGGATGGCAGGGTCAAATTTATTAAGATCTCTGCAGAGGAGGAGCAGGGCTGCCCCAGCTCCAAGGCCTAGGCAGGCAAAAATGTGATCTGCTCCCTGCCACACCCTTGTCTCAGTGCTTGGGACATGCAAATAGGATGGACGCTGCCGTCTATCTCCAGGCGGCAGTCAGTATAGCCAAGAGCCATGAAAGACATTTGCCTTCTCGCTCACTGTTGAAATATCTTCTGTGCAAAATCTCCTCTTTCAGCCCAAAACACTCAGGTTTTTGGCTCTCCTGCTCACCACTGCAGAAATGTTGCTGTTCATGTAGAGATGATGACAGGCCTCATCTTTCATGCAAGCCTGGGCCCAGTGGGCATACTGCCAGTGGGGACATGGCCATCCCTAATAGCCCTAGAATGGCTATCCTCTGATGTGTCTTTACCAACCTATCACATGTGAAGCCAGGGCTGTCTCTGAAGCTGTAGGTGGGGAGAGGAGAAGTTCCTCTCTCCCTCTCCATGTCCATGCCTGAGCACTGAGGCTTTCTGTCCACTGGGATGGAACCACACTCCTTTGTTGCAGAGACAAGCACACCACCCACATCTCTGCTGGAAGTGGCACAGTCACTCTCAGCCTACCAGCTGGAGCTCCCGGGCCAGGAGAGTGTTTGCACTGGTCTCCTCTCCGTTCACACTCCTTTGGTATGCTGCTCTTTCCCTTCTCTCTGGAGCAGCCCTCCCTGAGGGCTAGACCACTGGTAATCCTGCCGCTCCCCTGGGTCCAGCAAGTCCTGTGTAGCTGTTACAATCCAAGTGGGTGCCAGGGAATGTCTGCAGTGTCTCTGGTGATATGGTGACACAAGGGCTGAGGTTTCCTGAGTTGGACACAGTCCCCCAGTCTGTGTACTCAAAGTATAGCACTCACCACCACAGCTTGGATCTAGCGGGAGGGCAAGTGACTTTGCGTGAGCTGGTAGTCTGGTGTAATGCTCTTAAGAAGTCCCTAAATTGACACTCACAGCAATGTTTGGGTTTTCAAGGAAAGAGGAGCACTCTTAGTTCAGACACTGGTAGTCTACTGCAGGGGCAACGGGAGACAATACCACACACACCTACCCTTTTGATGAAGTAACAAGTCCTTTGGGTTCCCAGCCAATCCCTGCCAGCCTCGTGCTTCCTTCTTTGTCTGTGCCCCAGTTTCTTCCTGTGAGTTTTTCATAGGCTCCGGCACTTTCCCCTTGATAACTTTTTTTTTTTCCTGAAGGAAACTGGTATCTGATGTTTCTAGTCAACCATCTTGAAAAGAGAAAGAAAGTTAATCTAATTTTGACAAAGATGCCAAAACCATTCAATGGGGGAAAAATTGTGTTTTAGGTGAATGATATTGAGAAATTGGATATCCATGTACAAAAGAATGATATTAGATTCTATCACATCATATATAAAAGTAACTCAAAAGTTTTTCAAAGACTTAAATGCTAGAGCTAAAACTAAAACTCTTAGAAGAAAGATAGGGCTAAATCTGCACAATTGCAGATATGACAATGGTTTGTTTACATATGGCATCAAAATATGAGCAAAACAATATGAACAACAAAAGAAGAAGATAGATAAATTGGACTTCATCAAAAATTTTTAAAAAGCCTCGCTTCAAACTATGCTAAATGCCTAAGCTCTTTGAATTTAATATGTAGTGTTTCTGTCCTCCAGCATCTGGAAATCTGCAGATTTGGATGCACAAACAATTAGACATAAGACACAGCATAATGAAGTATTTGTTTTCATAGAGGATCATAGAAATTCATAAACAGAGGATGAAGAAACACAGAAGACAGAGGAAGGATTTAGTTTTGGGAACATGTGCTAATGGCCATCAAACAATTCTGAAATGTAAGTAACATTTCAAAAAGCATAATTTTTTTTGGCCCTTATGTTCTGCTTTTTTCGGTTTATAATGATAGAGAACATCAGTTATCATCAATAGCTTTATAGAAGGGTTGTAGCTAGTTTATATCAGATAATGATTTTACTGTCTTTACTAAATCTAAAAATATATTAAATATATTAAAAGCAACAATAATTAGAATAACATTTTCCTGGTACAGTGATAAAGAGATCCATGAATTCACGGTCCAGAAATATATTCAAGTACACTCAGGCAGTGCATAAAGATGTTTTGGTCAATGATAGATTGCATATAATGTGGTGATCCTGTAAGAAGGTAAAGGAGCTGACAATTTTCTGTCTCCTAGTGATGGTGTAGTCATCATAATGTTATAGTTCAATTACTTTATTTTTAAATAAATTTAGTGTAGCCTAAATATACAGTGTTTATGAAGTCTACAGTAGTGTTCAGTAATATTCTAGGCCTTCACATTCAATCACCATTCATTCACTGACTCAGCCAGATTCCTGCAGGCTCCATTTATGGTAAGTGCCTTATACAGGTATACCATTTTTAAAATCTTGTATACTGTATTTTGTGTACTTTTCGTATGCTTAAAAATGCTTAGATACACAAATGCTTACTATTTGTTAAAATTGCCTACAGTATTTAGTGCAGTAATATGCTTCACAGGTCTGTAGCTTAACAACAACAGGCTATGCCATGTAGCCTAGGTGTAGGCTATACCATCTAGGTTTGTATAATGCACTCTAGCATGTTCGCTCAGTGACGAAATTGTCTAATAATGTATTTTGTAGAACATATCCCCATTGTTAAGTGATGAAGGACTGTACATATAGAAATAAAAGTTCTCACACCAGTGGGGAAGAGATAAATTTTTAAATAAATGATTGTTATAATAAAAGCATTTTGTGAGAAAAACCCTTAAAATTTGATGTTCAATTTGTCCCTTACAAAATAGGTTCTCAGTGGATAAAAGATCTAAGTGTATAACATTCAATCCTAACATAGGTAAATGTGGGAAAAAGGCACTGAAATGTTATTTTACCTTTTACTTTAAAATAAGTTACCTAAATTAAATTGAAAATATTTGTAAATACTGTCTTTTTACTCTTTTTTTTTTTTTTTTGACGGGGTTTTTCTCTGTCTCTTAGGCTGGAGGGCAGTGGTGCAAACACAGCTCACTGCAGCCTTGACCTCCCAGACTCAAGTGATCCCCCCACTTCAGCCTCCTGAGTAGCTGGGATTATAGGCACGTGTCACCATACTCAACAAATCGTTTTAAATTTTTTGTAGAGATAAAGTCTCACTGTGTTGCCCAGGCTGGACTTGAACTCCTGAAGCTCAAGTGATAATTCTGCCTCTGGGTCCCAAAATGCTAAGATTACAGGTGTCAGCCACCATGCTTGGTTGTCTTTGTACGTTTAATGAAAGTACATTTTTTATAAGTGTGTCCAAATGCCTAGAAGCTCTCAACATCTCTTACCTGGGCTATTGCAATTTCCTGATAAATGTTCTCTCTACTTAGCTTTCATTCTCATGTCCTATAGTCTATTCCTTGTGGTGCAGCCTGAATGATCCTTTGTAATGTAAGTCAGATAATGTCACCCCTTTGCTCGAAATCTTCCGGTGGCTTCTTGCATCACAGCCTAGCACTCATGGATCCCCTCAGCCTTTGGCCTCTTTGCCATTCTTCACATGCACTTAGTAGGATCCTGCTTCATCTGTTGTTCCCCTATGTGGTTCACTTCCTTACTTTCTTTTAGAGTCTTATTAAATATCATCCTCTCAGAGAGGCCTTTCTTGATTGCTTTATATAAAGGAGTAGCCCCCTCCCCCTAACACCTTTTTACTCTCTCTCTTGCTTATCCTCATACTTTGCATGACATAAGAATCATATATATATATTCCTATGTCTATATATATATATATTTAATTGAGACAGGGTCTCATTCTGTTGACGGGGTCTTTCTCTGTCTCTTAGGTTGGAGTGCAGTGGTACAAACACAGCTCACTGCAGCCTCGACCTCTCTGGCTCAAGTGATTCTCCCATTTCAGCCTCCTGAGTACCTGGGACTACAGGTGCACACCACCACACTGGGATAATTTTTGGAGAGATGGAGTTTTGCCATGTTACTCAGGCTGGTCTCAGACTCTAGGGCTCAAGTGGTCCGCCTGCCTTGGCTTCCCCAAATGTTGGAACTACAGGTGTGAGCCACTGCTTCTGGCCTGTAAACATTGTTTTTAATCCTATATCTTTGCCTCCTAGGAAAGAGTGTAGGTACTCAGTGATGAATAGATCTTGGAAAACTAGTAATTTTTGACTATATAAAACTTCTAAAATTGTTAAGAAAAGCAGCATAAGCAAAGTCAAAAGATCAATATTAAACTGGGTAATTGTTTTCAACCCCACTGATGGAAAAGGGAAATTGGATATAAAAAGAGCTCTTACACATCCCTTAGGAAAAAAATAATACATATATAAACAGGTAGTGAAGATAAAAAACAATAATAATTGTCATAACATATAGGATAAGATCTGTAAACTCACTGGTAATCAGGGAAATGGAAGTAGAAATGCCATTTCTCACCATTAAGTTTACAGAACAATGAAAAAGTGTGACAGTCTACAGGGTTGGCAAGGTTTTGGGAAAATAGAATACTTACACAGTCTTGGTGTCAGGTATTGAGGTACTTTAGTAAAACTAGACTGGAGGACAATTTGGAAATAGTTGTCAACATTTTAAATGTGTATCTATTGTACTTTTAGAAATCTTTATGATGGAAAAACTCATAAAGTACACAGAAGTACACAGCATTCATTTGACATAGGACTGATCACTCAGTTCCTTGAAATAGTAGAAATATGGAATGAATCTATATGTCCTAATGATAAATCAATTTCCTGGGACAGCATGCTCATATATTTATTCAAGCCTCTGTTCAAATATCCCCTCCTACTTTCTTGATCGCCCTATCTAATGTAAGCTCCAGATTTTGTTTTGTGTCACAATGTGTGTAGAGTACTCAAATATTTGTTAAAAGAAACCTATGAACACTGTCATGAAAGGATAGTCATATGTTGTCGAGAAAAAAGCAAGTCATAGAATGATGTGTTTATATTCTTAATTTGTAGAAAAATCTGTGTGTATGAATGTATTTGTTTTTGTTTAGAAGATACCTGCAAAAATGTAAACCAATCTATCATCAGCAATGGTTCCTTCAAAGGAGTAGAATGGAGGATTTAGCTCTTTTACTTTACGTCCTACTGAACTGATTTATTTTTTAACAAGAAGCATGTGTTTATTTGACATTTAAAAATATCAAAGAACAACAAAATGCTGACTTAACTTTAAAATAGATGGCAAAACTTATAATTATTGATACCCTTTAACAGTTTCAAAAGAGAGTTATGTATGAGATTACAAATTTATTCCAGTAAATTTTCTCTCCAGGGAATAAGTGAGTGAACTAGGGAGAAAATGTGCTCATGAGTGCAGTGGATACACTTGTGAGCATGCACAAAGGTGTATGCATGTGATATGTTGCTTCTTACTCTATTCCCACTTAAGAGGTGTCAGGCCTTTTGGGTCCAAAGACAGAGCAGTTGTAATATTCATAGGGAAGAAGGGCACCCTAACATTTTCAATTTTTATTCCTACACCCAGCATCTCCCCATCATCACAAAAGCTGTATTTTTAATAGAAAAGGTGAGAGTTGACAAGTGTTCAGTATTTCAGTAAGGCTCTATTAATTTTCAGAACTGACATTACAATCTATGTTTTCTCCAGATTGCTTTCCTATACTTACCTATATGAAACTTACTTTGTGCCAATACATAGTATATTTTTAAGTCAGTTTAAAAATATTAAGGATTTAATGTGAAATTTTCATTCTCCTTGATATGTATTCATAACATATTCTCTGAATTTCTTACCAGAACTGAAAGAGAACCTTTGAAACACCCTTTAGATTAAGAGCCTGGCTTGTAATCTGTAACAACAAACGGTATTACAATGAGGTAAGAACTCTACTACATCTGTTTCTATTATTAGGATTGCTACTGATACTAATAATTATCATTATTATTGCTAACACTTATTGAGTGCTCGGAATATACCAGAAACTATTCCAAGTGGTTCATGTAATGACTCAATATATGTGTAAAGATTTAGAACTGTGATTGATGCATATTAAATGCTCACAAAGGTTAACTACTATTATTATGTACAATAAGATAAAAACTATTACTATTGTGCATAGGCAAAAACTAAGAATGTTTAAGTAACTTTCCCAGGGTTGTGCTTCATGCTGCTAACAAATGACATTATTAAGATTTGAACCAAGTTCGTATGACTCCTGTCCATATTCTTAACATTAATTCCACACTTATATTCAGCAAAATAAATCTTACATGTTACATTGTGTCATGTAAAGGATGCATATTATTTGAACCTTAAATTAAGATAGGAGCAGCAAGAACACTGAGAAAAATTAGTTCTTTTGCTGTATTTTGCCAGAAAATTCCAAAAAAGTCAAAGAACTCATTCCTCTAAACATTAAAATAAATTATTTTAACCCAAACTTGAAAAGCATTCTTGTGTTTGGTGTAAGAAAGTAGGCTTTAAGTGTAACAGAGCAGAGCCATGTTGCACAATAATCTGGTACTGAAAAGGAAAGGACAAGAGTTTTTTAGGCTCGTGGATTGTAATTACCCGGTTGGAATATTAATTCCATTTGTCTTCCTTTGAAGGGTGTTTCATCTTTTGTTTTACTCCTTGGTGGTATATCCAATTACTGAAAACAGGATGTGCTTATAAAAAAAATTCAATTCCCAGCATTGAGGAACAAATGCACATCTACTACTAATTGTTGTCATTGAAATTGAGTACCACAGAACACCAAAACAGCAAATGATGATGTTAATAATTTAAAAGAAAAAAAAACCCTTACTATATTGTGTAGCAAGAAAAACAGGGAGACCACATTTCAGGGTTTAAGTTTTCCTCTCTAGAACTAAAATGACTTAATTAGGAGAAACTTTGGAATTAGTTAGTTGTACTTGTCAGTTCCATTCCATCCAATTATGCAAAATATACAGAGCTGAAAAAATGCTCGTGTATTTACTGGGCATCGTTTCACTGAAAATGCTCAAGTTCACATACCCACTGCCCATCTGAATTACAGCAGCATTATTCACAATAAACAACTTCTCCCTTTTAAATGTTTCAATATAGACAGCCTAGAGTCCTTGATATAGAACTCAGTGTACCTATTGCAATCCATTGTCAAAAGAGGAAAAAAAGGAAGCCACTTTAGCATTTTTGAATGAGGTATTATAAAATCATTCAAAAACAAAAAATCAAAGATTAAACGAGACAGTACCATGCTTTCAATGAGGTCTGTGTTTATATTCTATTGGACAGTAGAGAATATTATTAAGCTTATACACAAACAGATACCATGAGCTTTCTTATCATGGATTCCCATGGCAATGTGTATAAGAGACATTATTTACTTAATGTACTTGTTGATGTTCTACATACTGTAGAGAAAATATTGCACTTTATT
Organism: Homo sapiens; assembly: GCF_000001405.40. Taxonomy (NCBI): domain Eukaryota; kingdom Metazoa; phylum Chordata; class Mammalia; order Primates; family Hominidae; genus Homo; species Homo sapiens. Next base: position 155,808,377 of record NC_000002.12, on the reverse strand, counting down.
ATTTCTATTGTGATGTTGCCTTTTTGAAGTAACAGGGCTGTCTCTGATGTTTTGTTTGGTGTTCCAACCCCCAAACAAAAACAAGCAAACAAAGACTCTGAATTTGTCATGCTTTAAGATCCCATTTTGTGATTCATCAGCCAGCCCTTTTCTAAGCTTTAGAGAATTTAGTTCCTTGCATGCTTAAGAATTGTGTATTTCACTACAGTCATGTGTCCCTTAATGACAGGGATGCATTCTGAGAAATACATCATTAGGTGATTTTGTCATTGCGCAAACATCCTAGAGTGTACTTACACAAACCTAGATGGTATAGCCTACTGCACTCCTAGACTATATGGTATAGCCTGTTGCTTCTAGACTACAAATCTGTACATCATGTTACTGTAGTGAGTACTCTATGCAATTGTAACACAGTGATAAGTATTTGTTTATGTAAACATATCTAACATAGAAAACCTACAGTAAAAAACTACCATATTATAATCTATGGGACCACTGTCATATATACGTGGTCCATGGTTGACCAAAGCATCGTTATGCAACTCATTACTGTATTTTAACTATATCCATCTTTTCTTTTCAATGAGTGCAAAGGAGTATCTTAGATGTAAAGCATCCCATATGCAGGGATTGTTCTGTTATTTATTCTGTGTATAAGCCCGCATGGTCTTTAATACATGTCTTTTGTTGAAGATACTAAAGAGAGGAAAGAGGATGACATCAGATTAAATGTGGTGTCAAATATTCCAGAATGAAAGATGATTGTTTCAGGTTTACTCCTCTTATATTAGGTAAGAGGAGCAGTTGAATTCATGGTGTGCAAATTAAGTAGTTGTAGTTGTTAAAGTTTAGAGCAGGATTTGGTAAAAACGAGCCTACTTTTTGTCTCATTTTAATTGATATTTGTTAGATTTATACTTATAGGTATCCTCAGATCTTATTTTTGAAATCCAATCTTTATGATAACCCTCTAAACTTTGTGATATCTTGAAATTCAAGAAGTATGTCTCTTCACATTTTCCAGTAAACACAAATGCAAGTGAGAGACTAGTAATGGTAGGATATGTGTGTGACATGCTTCTGAGTGGTATCAGTCCAATCTTCTGTACTCACATTGGTTGTGACTGTTCAACCCACCCTCTATCCAAATGCTTTGGCAACCAGCCCCTATTGCTTTCACCTTAACCAATTGTTCCAATGCCAGTCAAGACAGGTCTTTTCTGTAAAGGCAAAAAGCCTCCAAATCTCAGCAGTTGTATTACATTTCTACTACAGCCCACAAATTGTTACCAATTCATTAGCTCAAAGTGAAATACATTTGTTATCTCACAGTGTTAATGAATCAGAAGTCTCAGCACAATTTACTAGAGTTTTCTGCTCAGAATGGCACAAAGCTACACACAAGAAGTTAACCAGGCTGTGTTCCTTTCGAGAGATTGAGGTCCTCTTCCAAGTTCACATAGTTGTTGGTAGAATTCTGTTCTTTAAAATTTTAAGACTAAGAGTCCAGTTCTTTTGCTGTCTATTGGCTAGGGGATGCCTTCAGGACCTAGAGACCTTTCACAGTTTCTTGCTGTGTGCCCTTTTCCTTGGGCAATTCATATCATAGCAGCTTCTAAGGGCACCAAGAGAGTCTTTCTCCTGTAGTCTGTAAGACAGAGTCTGTTCTAACAGCATAATACGGTCATGGGTATGACATCCCATTATCTTTGCCATGTGACATAACCTATTCAAGGAGTTGACCATCCACTTACCTTTGCTATGTTCTCTTGGTAAGAGCAAATTGTTGGTTTTGCCTACATTCAATGAGAATAGATGATATAAGGGCACATCTCATCAGGGTTCACTTTAGGACATGCCTTCTACAGTGGTTTATCAAAATAAGGGTTTATTTCTTGGGCCTGCAAAGTCTGCTGCAGTTTTGAGTCACCTCAGGTAGTTTTCCTCCATGTAGAGACCCAGCTGACTGGGCTGCCTCATGAGGTCGTGTGAAACTTCATCTCAACTCAAGATCAGATCACTATGGCAGGAAAATAGAGTGTTGGAGAGCTTCACACAAAGAGTTAAAATGGTTGCACAGAATCATGACCAATTGGCCAAAACTAGCCACAAGTTCCTACCTAACTGCAAAAGGACAGGATGTCTAATCTGCCTCAAATGCCTAAGTGATGTTAAAGGTCTAACCCCAATATGAGTATTTGGAGATAGGGCCTTTAAAGAGAAAACTAGGGTTAAATAAGGTCATAAGGTAGGGTCCTAATCCAATAACTGGTGTCCTTATGAGAAAATAAAGTGACACGGGAAAATAAAGCTTACAGAGAAAAATTTGTATAAGTATAGAACATAAAGGTGGTTGTCTGCTAGCCAAGGAGAGGAGGGCCTCAGGAGAAACCAAACTTGCCAACACCTCGATTTTGGACTTTCAGCCTCCAGAACTGTGAGAAAATACATTTCTGTTGTTTAAACCACCCAGTCTGGGTAATTTGTTATGGCAGCCCTAGCAGACTAATGCACCACCAAAGAAAAAGAAATGTAATTTAGCCTAATATTTAAAGCTCTATAACTCCCTTTCATCCATTTGCTTATTTATTTTGATAGCCACACTATGAATTATGTTTTTGTTTTGTTTTAGTTCCCATTTTACAGATCAGGAGAAAGAGACTCTCAAGAGGAAAAGTAACTTATGCAAAGTCACATAGTTAACAAGTGGTTCAAACAGCCTGGTTGAGCCCCAGTACACTGCTTTGCATTCTAGGGTAATCCGGATTTTCGCCAGTGTTTTGTCTCAGGCAAAACTGGTTATTTAAGTCTATAAACATTGACCTTTGGCCATAGACAGATGGCTAAACTAAGCTTTCTACCTTGGGTTTACTAAGATTAGCCCCATAGAAACTTCAGTTTACTTGGAAGTCCCCAAGCAGCATTAATTTAGCAACTGTTTACTAACTGTTAACTCAAATTTTCTGTGATCTTAGAAAACAATATTTGAGGCAACCAATTGTAGTAACAATATTTTCTAGTGCTATTATTATGGTACACATGTTAATGGCTAGGTGTCTATGAGTAAAATATCAAAGGATCTCAGCTTGGACAGCTTTTGTTAGCAGAATTATAATATAAATATGACTGGGGGAGTGAATGCTTCTGCAAAAAGGAGATGATTATTTAAATAATAAAGAAAAGTCTCCTATTCCCATTGAAGGTGTGGTCTTGTTAAGCGCATTATTCCACAATGTGGGCAATCACAAGTTTCTGTGGTACATTTAACATAATTAATATAGGCATTTGTATTTGCAAGGATCTTTCCTCTTTCCTTTGTTCATGCCATGAACCTTATTCACCTTCATTTTTCTATTCTTAAAATATACTTTAGTTCATTAAATTTTCAGAGCACCAAATTTGCTAAAATGCATAGAGTTTATTCATGATTCGTAAATAGCATTTTTCTCTCTTTTTCCTATTGTTTAAAGCAATTTAATATATTCTGCCCAGTGCCTCTGTTTTAATACATTTAGCATTATCTGTCTATAGTTTTTATAAGATTTTCCAAAAACTTTTCAAGCTTATGTCTTCTAATCCACACCACTGTATCCTAATAATATTATCTATAGGACATGAGTTGTATCTGTTTTGTCAGATTATGGTAGAAGTTCATTTTCTATCCCCTATCACCGTCATCACAATGAGCCATTCCAAGTCACTTTGATGTGTACTTGAAGATTCAATGAGCTGTATTCCATACCAGAAGATCATCTGGGACTACAGTCCAGTCTCATATAGGAACACCCATGAAAGCTGTCAGTTCTTGCTTCAGTCTGAACTGATTGCATTTTCCAAAATGCAGATGCACCTTAGACAGTCCCTCAAAAACTCCAGAAAGTGGTCAATCACTATTTTCCAGCTAGGTCTGTGAGTGTTGGTGTGTTGCTTTAGGTCAACAGACTGCTGCTGTGTTAATGAAAACACATACAAACTGCACTTGCAGTCTTTTTTTTTCTTGAATAAATGCCCATTAAAAATAACTATATGATAATTAATGAGGAAGAAAATAGTACTGTGTAGATGGTTTGTCAATATTGTAGTTAGGTCATTCATCTGTGGAGCAGTGGTATTCACTTACTTTCTCCTTTGTTACAGAGATGTACAATTAATATTTCACTTTGTATTTTAGACACTCTTGCAAGCATTATTTTAAACAGGCAAACAGGGACCACTTCCAAGATAAAGAAAGTCGCCATTCTTTTGATGATGAATTCATAATGAAGGGAATCCTCATTCCAAATGGACTTCTATAAGGCACCATTCCCCTGAAATTAATGTTCCTAGGTATGTGGGGAGAACTAGTTAATGAATGTTAAATTAAGTAGTAACATACTTAGAGTCAGGGTGATGTTTATGTGACACTAGTTTACTTTAAAACACTCCCTATTTACCTTTACAAAAATAATACGATAGCAATTTGAGATGAATATTTACAGTACGTGGAAATAGTTCTGAAGGGCTAATTCCCAAACCACTGTTTGCAAAATGTCCTGCTTCTTTGATCTACATTTTCATAGGCTTTTTAAGGCAGAGATTGGCGAGATTGCCAGTTCAACAAGAAAATTTCTTACTTGAGAACAGATGGTACCTGCAGCCTTTAAATGGCGGGAATCAAGTAGACCAGGTTACTGAAAAAAATCACTAATTTTGTGACATGATAACATGTACATCCAAAGTACTAGCTACATTTTCAGAAAGCTTGGAAATATACAAATCCAAAGAGAATGTATCATTTTAAGTGAAAAATCTATAAATAGTTAATACTTGGTACTTTTACATTTAAAATGCTCCTTTAAAAATTAGTTCTATTTATTGATGAATATTGTCTTTACAGCTGATAGCTCTTTTTTTGGGTCTTATGTATTTATAAGTTGGGGAAAATATTTTAAATCAACGCTGTAATATAAGCATAGTTAGAGAGCTAATATGAGGATTTTTACTTCATTTACATTCATTACATATTATGAGTTTAATTACCTTCCTCAAATAATACCAGTATGAAGGAAAGATGCTGAAGAAGGCGTACTTCTATGATGATTTTATTGATTGTGACTGATGGATGGCATCAACATTTCATAGTGAAGAATCATGGTTTTCTTACATCAGGAAAATTAAATTGGGAGAGTTATTTTCTTTCCCAGTGATAGTGGCAGTTAGAATATTTCACCTGTAATGAGATGTGTGCGTTATGTGCCATCGTGAACCACGGCTCAGCCATTAAATATATGTAAATGAAGAGAAACACAAGAGAGCCCCGGCATAATAACGTGCAGAACAGAGAAATGGATCCTGGAAAGTGATTAATTTATTTGATGATGCCTCAAGTGAGGAATTTTAGGTCACAAATGAAGTGACAGAATGACAAATTACCATTTTAAAGAATTTACTGGGCATCATTACTGAACAATTGTCAGGTAGTTTATGGTGGCTGAGAAGATGGTATAAATATAGATCTTTTCCTTATCTGAGATGAATTATTAATCACCTTTTTAAAAATCTTTGTGAGTGATGGTTGGCTGTCTGATTGGAAATAATGTGTTCTACAATTTTAACTAAATTCTAATATGATATGTAACAGGAATCTTTACAATTAAAGTCTCAGTGGAGAGTGGTAGGAGGTTTACAGTCAATTGCAGTTTTAATGTGATAGAAGAGGATGAATCCACTAACATATTTCAATAGATTTCCTTAGGTATATTATCCCTGCTGTGATGTTATTCAAATGTTTACAGTTTATTTTCATTTGAAAAATGACATTCAGATACTTAAATTGTTTTCCTTGGTTTATTAGTTAATGAAAATGAAATTCTAGTAATTACTATAGTTTTGCAGCCTGCCACATTATTTAAAGTGAAGTGACTGGCTTTGTCAGCTGCATTGTAAATGTCATCTTCCTGTGTTTTGTTCAATTTTTATTTGCGTTATCTGTGTCTTGTCCCTTATCTTTCTACATGTCTACGTGTCTAATACCAGTAACGACTAGAATGTGGAAGAAAAAAAATCAGAATTTGAAACAAAAGTGTTTTCTCATTTGTTTTTATGTTTGATAATAAAAGAATATACTAACCTACTCTAGAACAGCACTAACAATACCAAAGATAAAAACAAAACTCCTCAATATAAGGTGTACTAAAATTTCTAAACATATTTTTAAATGCCTGGATGTGTCATGCTACTTAAAGCTGAGTTTATATGTCCACTCATGTTTGATCACATCAAATGTACCTCAAAGTTCCTTATTTTTAATGAGTAAAGGGTGGTTTTTAAAAAAGTGTATGTTAGATATTTAACAGAGTAGAAATGTCTAGAGAACTATTTTTAACAAGCATGTTTGTAAAGCAAGCAAATATAGCAGTTGCTGTTTGCTTTCTGGATTCAAAGGACTTAAATGACTAATCTTTCACCTAGAAAAAAGCTTGAGATTTTGCTCCTTTTTATGCTATTATGTGCACCTCCTCATTTTAATCTTGATTCCTTTTAAGAGTATATGAACCACTTAAATAAGTATTCCCTGCGTTACCTATGACATCTAACATTGCTGAACTGGAAAGAAATTTAAATTTTGAATGTACATGCCACTTTTCAACTCATTTTGCTTTGACTTTTTTTTCGTCAACCTGGATGGTAGAACATTACTGAAACTTTCTGTCATTTAAAGAAGGAAACAAAAAGATTTATTGTGCTTTGGATTTCTTGGTCCAGTTTATATAGTGTGCCCATAAAGGGCACACTGCATTTAAGGAACATTTTAGGGATGGCAGTGCTTCTTATGTGTGGTGTTTTCCTTTTCCATAAAGGATGCTTAGGTTTGCCCTGATGCCGGAACAGCACATTTCAGGTTAGTCTACACCAGCATTTCTCCATTAGAGATGACCGTCACCTTTCATTGGTTTTTTCACCCTTGCTTGCCACAGAAAATGCAAACATGCAAACAAATGAATGAGGGCATGCCCCCTCTAAGGAAAATTCAAATCCTGTATGAGGTACTATAGTGAGATTGGACTTGTTTAACCAGCATAGTTCAGAGTGATCAAGACTGTGTTGGAGGAGAAGATGATTGCTTTATGTGAACTGAGCCCTGCTGCCACACTTTAAATACTTTTCATCTTCTGCCAGCTTGCATCAGCTGTCAGAGGGACATGCAAAAAAGGAAATGAAGATGCATTTGACTCCAAAACATTTAGAGAGCAAAAGAAAAGATCCTTAAAGTGAAGAATAGATTTTAAATTCACTGAAAGACATCGAAAAGAAGATTCTCTATGCAGTTACAAGATCATGATTTTTGGCCATTTGCATGGTTCAGGAATACGATAGAAGAAGAGGAGGAGCACTTGATTAATTGAAATGTCATTGCATGGTCACCACAGGTCAAGTGTACAGAGAAAAATATATGTTGGCTACACCCTTAAGAACCTTACAAACTGATGAGAAGTTGGGTAATAGAAAATGTGCAGAAATTTCTTATAATTTTGCCACTGGGTTTTCTGAAAAATTTTATCCTGCATAAGAGACTTAATTATGTCCATTTCTTCTTTTTCAGTCAGTGTTGGTTCATTTCAGGATCAGCACTTCTCTGAACCCTTTTTTTCCATCTAAACCCTCACAGTGGCATTAAAAAAAAAAAAAAAAAAAAACCAGTCCAACCAAAAATCTCCAGGCACTATCTCCTTACTGCTTATTTTCCCAATATTTTGTGATACAAAATTTCAAACAGATTCAAGGTGAACATCTATGTGGCCACTACCTAAATTCTACCATTGATATTTTACTATAAACATTTCATCACATATCCAATTATCTAGCCATCAATCCAACTTATAATTTTTAATGCATTTATAAGAAATCGCAGACATTACACTTTCCCTAAATACATCAGCATGCCTATAATTAACTAGAGGTTAATATATGTTTACCATATTTTTTTCTCTTCAAGTACATTTTACATACACAAGACATATATACTTGCTGAGTTCTGATGAATGCATATGTTTGTATAACCCAGCCCGCTATCAGGTAGGTCACTACCTGTATCCCAGAAAATTCCCTCATCCCGTTTCTAATCAATATTCTACTTCCACCCCAAGAGAGGAAACTGCTGTTCTGTTTCTTCAATACAGATTAGTTTTGCTTGTTTTAGAACTTCATATAAAATGGAATAATACAGTATGTACTCCTTTGTGGGTGGCTTCTTTCGCTCTGCAAATCATTTTTTTGAGATCCATCCATGCTAAATGTATCAGTAGTTTGTTTCTTTCTATGGCTGAATAGTATTACATTCTCTGAATATAGTGAAGTTTGTTTATCTATTCTCATATTGATGGGCACTTGGACTTTTTCTAGTTTTTAGGTATTATAAATAAAACTTCTATGAACATTCTTTGTTATTTATGATTTTAGTTTCAATAGTTTTGAGAGTACAGGTGGCTTTTTCTTACATGGATAAGTTGGTTAGTGGTAATTTCTGAGATCGTGGTGCATCTGTTACCTAAGCAGTGTACACTCTACCCAATATGTAGTCTTTTATCCCTCACCCCCCTTGAACATTCTTTTTATGGACATATGATTATATTTCCTTTGGAAAAATATCTGAATGGAATTGCTGATAATAGAGTAGGTATATTGCTACTTTTATAAGAAACTGATGGGCCTTTTTACAAAATTAATGCTTATCTTTATATTCCCACCAACATTAAATTAAAATTTGGTTGTCTCACCTCCTTGACAACATCCGTTATTGTCAGGCTTTTTATTTTAGGTTCCCTTGCATTTTTACTTCTCTAGATTTTTCCTCATTTCTCTTGTCTTCAATCACTCTCTTTCTCCAGAATTCTTTTTATCAGCCTTCAAACATGCTCTTGTACTTTCCTCCTTAAAAAAAAGGCGAAACAAAAATTTTGACCAATGTCCCCCTTCAGCTACCACATTATTTCTCTACTCTGCTTAACAAGTATGTTTCTTCACCTTATCAATTAAGCTACCTCCACTTTATCACTTGAAATATCCTGATGTCTAGATGCTGGGATTCCTTAGACTATGGTCCTGGGCCCTCTTATGTTCTAATCATTCACTCTCTCCCCGGAAGATCATATTAATTCCTGGGGGTTTTAAATACATCTCTATGCCAACAACTTTTAAACTTATATTTCGGGCCTGTATTTCCCTCTGAGTTCTGTCTACCTTCTTTACATTTCCATTTGTCTAGGATTCTGATATTTCAAGTCACAATATCTGACTTTGAACTAGAACTCTTCCAAGTATTCTTTTCCTCCAGGATTTTTCATCTTCCTTAGGATAGTGTATTTCCTTTTCTTCATGTCTAGAAAAAAACTGAATAATATTCAAACCCAAGTTAACTTAAAAGATATAGTTTAGAAGAAATAAAAATGGTCTTAAAAAGAACATCTCAAGAATCTATTATCTAAAATAAAATTAGACAATATTTAAAAATCAATGAAAAATTCATATATCAATACTTAGTGGGTATAGCTAAAGTTAACAGTAAAAAAATTGTAGCCTTAAGATATTTATATTATGATAGGGCAAACATAAATAAGTTATGCAATCAAATTCCAATAATGAGAACAGAAAAAACAATCCTAAATAGAAGAATTTAAAAAATAAAAACTAGAAAATATTAAAATAAAATTGATGTCAGAAATGAAACATTTAGCATGATCAAAAAAGCCAGAATATGTTGTTTGAATAGACTAACAAAATTGTTAAATCTTCAGCAAGACTTTTTAAAATAAAAAGAATGTAGGCTCAAATAGGCACATTTCCAGTTAAGAAAGCAGGAGTAAATACAGTAAAGATTTAGATGATGTTAAAAAATATTATGAACAACGTTTATGCCAGTGAATTAGAAATTTGAAAATGTATACTAATTTGTCATATTCCTTTCTAATGTCAATTAGAAAGCAAAATGTAGCTTTCTAATTGAGCTTCAAGAAGACATAGAATACTTACATGGTCCTATAACTCTTAAAGATATTAAAATAGTAATAGAAATCAGCACATAAAGAAAGCTAGAAAGTTTTACAGGGTGGTTCAACCAAATAATAATTAAACAATACCAAATGTAGTTAATAGCAAAAATAAACCAATAATTGTGAGGACAATACAAGAAAGGGCACTTCCCAAAACAAACACACATGCAAATATGTGTGTGGCTGATATAATATTAAAACCAAAATCAAATAAGAAACATATAAGAAAGAAAAATCGTAGGCCAATATCAATCATGATCCCAGATGCAAAAACCAATAAAGATGAGCAAATTAAATCCATCAAAGTATAAAATATGTAAACCATGTAGGATTTGTCCCAGAAATGCAAATGGATTTAGCATTAGAAAAGTCATCAACTTAATTCTCTATCTGAACAATTTTAAAAGCAAAAGAAGAACTTAATTAATAAAAGATGCAGAGGAAAACATTTGGATAAAGTAAATACCAACTTATGGTAAATGAGTAAAACAGAAACCACCTATTAGAAAACCAGGGAAAGAAGAGAAATTATTTAATCTGAAAAAGATATATATCAAAATCCTGTATCAAGTAGTATAGCAATGTTGAAATGTTAAATTTATTTCCATTAAGATAGGAGTAAGACAAGAATACTCATATTTACTCATTTCTGTTCTTTATTTTATTGCATTTTGATGTCAACATAGTAACCCAAAAACAAAAGTAAAAATAAATGGTACAAATGTGTGGAAAATATAAAAACTGTCATTATTTGTAAATGTCTAGATAGACTACCAAAAACAATACAAATTACTAAAATAATAGTTTAATAAGTATATATGTGTATATATATACAGAATAATATAAATAGTATATATAGATATATAGATATTACATGAATACATGAAAGAAATATTTATAGCCATGTTAATATCAGTCAGAATAGACTTAGGCAAAAAGCATTATGCAATTGTTTTAAGAAGCAATTAGGAAAAAATCCCAACATAATCAAAAAAGAGAAAAGACATTAGTAGACATTTTACACAAAAGGAAATATAAACAGTTAAAAAACATGAAAAGATGCTCAAAATTCTAGATACATACCCTAGTGAAACCTTGCATGTTACATAAGGAGATATATGAAAGAATGTTATTAGAAATATTGTTTATAACAACAAACACAAAAATTTGTTCAACATTTGAATGCAGAAATAAATGGAAATATATGTGTATAGTGAAAAGACATCATGTAGATACAGAGATGCAACTCTAAATGGAAGACTACTGATATGGTTTGGCTCTGTGTCCTCACCAAAATCTCACCTTGAATTTTAATAATGCCAGTTGTCAAGGGCCGGACCAGGTGGAGATAATAGAATCATGGGGGCAGTCTCCCCCATACCTTTGTCCTGATAGTGAGTGAGTTCTCACAAGATATGATACTTATATAAGGGGCTTCCCACTTTGCTCGGCACTCTTTCTCTCTCCTGCTGCCCGGTGAAGAGGTGCTTTCTGCTGTAATTGTAAGTTTCCTGAGGCCTCCTCAGCCGTGTGCAACAGGAGTCAATTAAACTTCTTTTTCTTATAAATTACCCAGTCTCAGTGTTTCTCCATAGCAGTGTAAAAATGAACTAATACAGTAAATTGGTACCGCAGAGTGGGGTGCTGCTATAAAGATACCTGAAAATTTGGAAGTGACTTAGGAACTGGGTCACAGGCAGAGATTAGAATAGTTTTGAGGGCTCAGAAGAAGACAGAAAAATGTGGGAAAGTTTGGAACTTCCTAGAGACTTGGAGGGCTTAGAAGACAGAAATTGGTGGGAAAGATTGGAACTTCCTAGAGACAAGATGAATGGCTTTGACCACAATGCTGATAGTAATATGCACCATGAAGTCCAGGCTGAGGTGATCTCAGATGGAGATGATAAACTTGTAGGGAACTGGAGTAAAGGTGACTCTTGCTATGCTTTAGCAAAGAGACTGGTGGCTTTTTACCTCTGCCCTAGGTATCTGTGGAACTTTGAACTTGAGAGAGATGATTTTGGGTATCTGGTGGAAGAAATTTCTAAGCAGCAAAGCATTCAAGAGGTGACTTGGGTTCTCTTAAAAGCATTCAGTTTTAGCATTCACGAAGATACGGTTTGGAATTGGAACTTATGTTTAAAAGGGAAGCAGAGCATAAAAGTTTGGAAAATTTTCAGCCTGATGATGCGACAGAAAAGAAAAACCCATTTTCTGAGGAGAAATTAAAGCAGCCTGCAGAAATTTGCATAAGTAACAAGGAGCTGAATGTTAGCCATCAAGACAATGAAGATTATGTCTCCAGGGCATGTCAGAGACCTTCACAGCAGCCCCTCCCATCACAGGCTCTTAGGCCTAGGAGGGAAAGATGTTTTCCTGGGCTGGGTCCAGGGCCCCTCTGCTCTGTGCAGACTTGAGACATGGTGCGCTACAGTACAGCTGCTTCAGCTTCAGCCATGCTAAAAGGGGCCAAGGTATAACTCGGGCCATTGCTCTTCAGAGAACAGAGAATGCAAGCCTCAAGACTTGGTGACTTACACATGGTGTTGGGGCTGTAGGTGCACAGAAGTCAAGAATCTAGGTTTGGGAATCTCCATCTAGAATTCAGAGGATGTATGAAAAGGCCTGGATGTCCACACAGAAGTCTGCTGGAGGGTGGAGCCCTCATGGAGAACCTCTACTAGAGCAGAGTGGAAGGGAAATGTGAGATTGGAGACCCCATACATAGTCCCCATTTGGGGTATGCCTAGTGGAGCTGTGAGAAGAGGGCCACCATCCTCCACACCCCAGAATGGTAGATCCATTGACAGCTTGTACTGGGTGCCTGGTAAAGCCACAGGCACTCAACACCAGCCTGTGAAAGCAGCTGGGAGGGGGACTGTAACCTGAAAGCCACAGGGGTGGAGCTGTGCAAGTCTGTGGGAGCCTACCTCTTGCATCAGTGTGACCTGGTTGTGAGACATAGAGTCAAAGGAGATCATTTCGGAACTTCAAAGTTTAATTACTGACCTATTGGATCTCAGACTTGCATGGACCTGTACCAGCTTTGGTTTGGCCAACTTCTCCCATTTGGAATGGGTGTATTTACCCAAGTGCCTGTACCCCCATTGTATCTAGGAAGTAACTAACTTGCTTTTGGTTTTACAGGCTCATAGGTGGAAGATACTTGCCTTGTCTCAGATGAGATTTTGGACTTGGACTTTTGGGTTAATGCTGAAATGAGTGAAGACTATGGGGGACTGTTGGAAGGGAATGACTGCATTTTGAAATATAAGGACATGATATTTGGGAAGGGCCAGTGGGGCAATAATGTGGTTTGGCTCTGTGTTGCCATCCAAATCCCACCTTGAATTGTAAGAATCACCTTGCTTCAAGGATAGGACCAGGTGGAGATAATTGAATCATGCGGGTGGTTTCCCCCATGCTGTTTTCATAGTGAGCGTTCTCACTATCATGAGTGTGAGTGATAGTTCTCTCATGATCTTATGGTTTTATAAGGGGCTTCCTGCTTTGCTTGACACCCATCCTCTCTCCTGCTTCCCTGTGAAGAGGTGCCTTCTGCCATGATTGCTGAGGCCTTCCCATCCATGTGGAACTGTGAGTCAATTAAACCTTTTTCCTTATAAATTACCCAGTCTCAAGTGTTTCTTCATAGCAATGTGAAAACAAACTAATATAACTACTACAAATATAAGATTTAGTAAAAATAGTAGATAGCAACATACTGAACTTATAATGTTTCCATTCATATAAAGCTAAAAACTATGCAAAAATAAACCATATTTATTTAGAAATGCATCCATATGTTGTTAAAATGTTTAAAGGCAAATTAATTGTGAATACTATATTCAGAATAGTGATTTTCTCAGGGAGTGCAATTTTATTACAACGTCTTGCAAGCCAATGTACTATTACTGTTATAATTCTTGAACAAGGTGTTTTCTGTATGAATATTTAGCTCAATATCATTCTTTGTATTTCACATGAACATTATATATTTTTATATGCATGAATTTTGCATAATAAAATTATTTCTAAAACAAAGCCGAAAAGAATACATATTTGCATTTGAATACTTAGTCTAAGGATTAAAAAAAGGTATTGTTTTATATAAAGCTGAAATAAATATACTCTATGGAGACATATTACTTTCATTTCTTATATTTAAGAACTGAAAAATTATACACACCTACTGGAAATAAAAATAAAGATAACATGAAAAACCAAATATATGATGCCACTGGCCTTTTCTTTGTAACTAAATTTATTTAGACAAAAGCATAAATACTACCTGTGGAGAAATGTTTAGCAATTCTATATCTAATTATGTTATTGTCATATGTAAACACAATGAAAAGACTTTATAAACTAGGTTAAGTGTTAGAAACTATAGTGTTTTCTAGGGGGTGGGACACACCTTAAATTACCACTATGAAACCGGCAATTTAAATGTGTGATATTGGCCTGATAACTGGATTTAGGCTCTGATAGTTGGTACTATATTGGTCACATAAATTCTGTTTCACTTTATCTTGTTTTGAACTCCATCTAAAGTAGAAGATTCCTTCATCAATTTTTTTTTGGTCTCTCTTAGAGTACACCCTGTGTTTTCAAATGTACTCTGCTTGCTTATTAAATACAGGTTAAGCTTGGTTTCCAATGTGGAGAAACAAATTCTGGAATAAAAGTTCATTAATCAATAGAATGGCCTTTTCACATCTACCCCCTCCCCAACAGTAATCCCATAGCTTTACATAGCACCAATATGAAAACAAAATGAAACGGTGCCAGAATAAAAGCTTCAATATTTACTAATTTGCCACTAGAATAGTATACTTACCAGTCTGACTGAGATTTTAAATAAATTAAATATTGTTATTCAGTCTGAATTCTTAAAACAGTGGAAAGCAATGAAAAAAATAAAGAAAGTTACTTACAACATATTATACAGCTGATCTTTGAACAGCATTAGGATTAGGAGTGCCAACCCTCTACACAGTTGAAAATCTATATAACTTCTGACTCCTCCAAAACGTAACTACTAGTTGCTTACTGTTGACCTGGAAGCCTTATAGATACCATGAACAGTCAATTAACACATATTTTGGATGTTATAGGTACATATACTGTATTCCTATAATAAAGTAAGCTAGAGAAAAGAAAATGTTATTTAAAAATCATTTGTAAAATACACTTGTCATGTCAGGTATGGCAAAGGGCAAAGAAAATTCATGTATAGATGAACCCACATGGGTCACACCCATGTTGTATAAGGGTCACTTGTACTTCTTGAATCTGAGTATTCAACTCTTTCAAATACTTTGGTAAATTCTCACCTGTTACCCGGAAGCATTGCCTCCCACCATTCTCTGTATTTTCCCTTTATACTTTTAGACATATATTGTATTTCTGTTGGGCATATATTATTTTTTCTTATTTTACCATCCATGACTCTTCTATATTTTAAATTCTTTATTTTTTTCTTTATACTGGGTAATTTCTTCAAATGTATCTTCCAGTTAACAAATTCTCTCTTCAGCTGTGTCTAATCTGATTTCTAGCACATAAAATGAGTTTTTAATTTCTATCCTCATATTTTTATTTCTAGAAATTCTATATGATTCTTTATAAAAATACTTCCTGTTCTTATTTTCCTGGTGTATTGTTATTTCCACATATATTCTATATATTTGTTTACCTTTGTAATCATTTTAAACAGGCTTTATTAATGCTATCATATGAATAGATTATAAGGGTACATGAGGAAGCTAAAGAGATTTTTGTCCTAATGAAGATATAATTATAGTATAAAAAGTATTTTATTTCCATCACCTATTGTTCTTCTATATTCCAAAATTAGAGAGGTGTTGATGTAAGCCTATTGCTTTTTATGTTTGTTGACTCTTATTTATATTGAAAAATTTTATTTTCTATATGACACCAGAGATCTCTCTGAATGCATGTAGAAAAGGTCATATGAGCACATAGAAAAATCGTGACCATCTGCTAACTAAGGAAAAAGCCCTCAGAATGAAACCTACCTTGCTGGCAGCTTGATCTTGAACTTCTTGGCCTCCAAAACTGTGAGAAATAAATCTATGTTGCTTAAGCCACCCAGTCTAAGGAATTTTCTTATGGCAACCCAAGCAGATCAATACAGGGAGGAAAAAGGGAGATATTTTAATTGTTACTAGGTGAAGAAGAATGATTTAGACATGAAATAATTTAACTGCCAGGGGAGAGGGAAAATATCAGAAAGTACACTGAAATGATTTTTCCTGTTTAATGTCTGTATCTAGGAAATAATTGAAAAGTGCCACCTGAAATGTCTCTGAAACAGAGAAGCCATAGTAAAGTCATCTCAGAAGTTTGTACATAATAACTGCAACAACTAAACAAGGTAGTTACAAAATCTTTGGAAGAATTTTAGAGGGTGTGAGTGAGAGAATCAGCTAAGCATTAGTAAATGAGGTATCAAGAGATTTTAAGTAAGGAGTACAGTTTTGATAGGTAAGGAGATGTTTAAAATACCATATACAGTTAAAGGCAGAACTAATAATCTAAGATGTCCATCTCTTAATCTTAAGAATCTGTAAACTTACATGTAAAAAACAAAAAAGAACTTTGCAGATGTGATTAAGATTATGGACCTTGAGGTAGGGGAATTAACTTGGATTATCCACCTGGGTTCAACCTAATTACATGAATCCTTAAAATGAAGAACCTTTCTTGGCTGTAGTCAGTGAAAGAGATGTGATGACAGAAGTGTCATTAAGGAGGAATAACAGAGACCACAAACCAAGAAAGAGAGGCAACTTCTAGAAACTGAAAAACTCAGGAAAACAGATTTTTCCCTTGAGCCTCCGGAAAAGAAGACAGCCCTTTTGATACCTTGATTTTGGTTCAGTGTGACTCATGTCAGAATACTGAAGTGCAAAACTTTTTAGATAATAAATTTCTGTTTTTTAAGTCAATAAGTTTGCAGTCATTTTTAGTGGCAGCAATAAAAAACTACACAAATTAGATTCTACAAATTTGGACCACAGGACATAACATATGGACACATCAAGTAGTATACACAGTCAAAACTTGCCATAGCCTATAAATAAAATATTAGTCCAACTACACTAAGGAAAACAATATAAGGAGGGTGAGTCTGGGTGTGGTGGCTCACACCTGTAATCCCACAGCTTTGGGAGGCTGAGGTGGGCAGATCACTTGAGGTCCAGAGTTCGAGACCAACCTGGCCGACATGGTGAAACCCCATCTCTACTGAAAAAAAACTAAAAAAAAAAAAAGGAAGGTGAACACTAAGATACCTAAAATACCTATTGGTTTACGTATACAGATACATTTGTATAAGAATTTAATATTAGAAAATAAAATCAATCACTTTAATACATCTCAGAGTAAAATAATAAACACGTTTAGCACTTCCTATGGGACAGGTATGGTTTTAAGTGCTTAGATGACAGATTGATAGGTGCAGCAAACCACCATGGCACTTGTATACTTATGTAACAAACCTGCATGTTCAGCACATGTATCCCAGAACTTAAAGTGAAATAAAATAAAAATATATATATATTTTATATTTTATATATTTTATATTTATATATATACACACACACACACACACACAGCCTTAATTCTCACAATAATCCTGTGAGGTAGGTACTTTTATGATCATTCTATTTTCAGACATGCAAATAATGACAAAAAGAGGGTAAGCAAACTACACAAGGTCACACAAATGACAAAGTGGTCCAGCTAGGATTTAAACCCAGGTATTTTGGCTCCAGAGAAGCTACTCTTAAAATGTATGCTAGAGAAATTGAAATATCACTAGATGCTGATGTAGTTCAAGGATTTTTAAATAACCTTGATGAACTATAGGTAAAATAGTATAGCCCTTGATCAGTTAAGAACATCCAATATATTACTGTATGCTTTTAATTCATGTAAATAATATTTATTTAATTACTTAATGTTATGTGAATAATAAGAGAATAGAGCCATTCTTATTAAAAGCATAAGCCAAATACAAAGAACTACCGCATATTAATTAGCTTTCTTCCTTTACGGTTTTTTTTTTTTGGGGGGGGTTGGATTCTTACTGTCTAGAGTGCAGTGGCATGATCTCAGCTCACTGCAACCTCCGCCTCCCAGGTTCAAGCGATTCTCTTGCCTCGGTCTCCCGAGTAGCTGGGATTACAGGCGCCCACCACCATACTTGGCTAATTTTTGTATTTTTAGTAGAGACAGGGTTTCACCATCTTGGCCAGGGTGGTCTTGAACTCCTGACTTCGTGATACACCTGCCTTGGCCTCCCAAAGTGCTGGGATTACAGGCATGAGCCACCGTGCCCAGCCTGGTTAGCTTTCTTATGGACTGTTTGCTTATTGCTCTAAAGCATAGTGATTTAAAAAATTAAAAAAAGGTGAAAATATAATTATCTGCCTGTACAAATTTAGATTTCTAAAAGGAAACTTAGGGTAAATAAGAAATTAAAGAGATAGCAGAATAAAAAGTAAGTTCAAAATATCAATTTATTAGTTTCTATGCTATATCTACTAAGTATACATAGATTGAAGACATCTCAAATTTATTTTAATAAGATGGTATGGCTCCTCTACTAAATGATAGACAATAAAGGCAACTACATGCCAATTTTACTTACAAAATAGATAAAATGCTAAATAGCATACTAGCCAATTTAGTGTAATAGATTATTCAAAATAATCCAAAATAACCAAATATATTCATTTAAGGAATGTAAGAAATGTTATATTAGGTAATTGATTAATGTAACACAGCATATTAATTATTTAAAAGAGATAAACCACATTACGTTCTCCAGAAATACCAAAGTAGAATTTTGGATTTATTTAGTATACACCCTTAATATCATTTGATCATGGAAACTCCCTCCTCCTATAATCATATGCTAATATTTACCAGAACACCAATTTTTTTTTCTATTTGTGTAACTTCTAAGTTTCTCCCACTATGTTTCCCTTCTTCTACTATTGTTGGAGAAAGGAGAGTTAAGATATTTTTAACAGTGAGATGCTGGCATAAGAATAGTAAAATACTAATATAATGCATTAAAATGTCATGTATAATTTGGAGTATTTAAAAAATCAGTGAAGAAGAAGCTTCTGTAATAAACATTATTTGGACTACTGATTTAGCAATTTGGAAAATGATATAGCTATATTGTCATATTACACCATTTAGCCAAAGAAGTCTTAGATATATTAAACATATATTAATAAAATAAGAATTAAATAATAACATTAGGAGGAAACATTTAATATTTAAATGCAACTCCTTGCATTTAAATATGCAAGGAGTGATAAAAAGCCTAAGGAAAAATATTAGAAGTTTGGATAGCATAAACATAAAAAAGAAAGTATATGTCCATATCAAAATAAAAAATATGATAATGTTGGGCTACATTATAGCACATCTTATACATAAACTATTGATCATCTTAATAGCTAAAAGACTTTTACACTACATCTAACAGGAGAAAAAGTTTTTCTTTTTTTTTTTTTTTGTTTGTTTTTGTTTTTGAGATGGAGTCTCACTCTGTCACCCAGGGTGAGTGCAGTGGCACCATCTCGGCTCACTGCAAGCTCCGCCTCCCAGGTGGTTCACGTCATTCTCCTGCCTCAGCCTCCTGAGTAGCTGGGACTAGAGGCGCCCGCCACCACACCCGGATAATTTTTGTATTTTTAGTAGAGACGGGGTTTCACCATGTTAGCCAGGCTGGTCTTTATCTCCTGACCCCGTGATCCGCCTATCTCGGCCTCCCAAAGTGCTGGGATTATAAACGTGAGCCACTGCGCCCAGGAGAGAAAAAGTTTTTCTTTGCAAGGCAATTCATTAAAGAAAAAATATAGATATACAGATAGTCTATAAACATGCAAACATTGTTCACAGTAATGCACCTTAAATGTACATTGAGACTTTTTTTTTTGGCTAAGAAAAGAAAAAGCATCTACTACCTGGTGAAGTTTGAGTACCCTAGGAGGCAAACTTATGCACCCGGATAAAGTGTGAAATAATGCAAAATTCGTAGGCCAAAGGAAAATTTGGAAGTATAAACTAAAGGGTCCTAAAAATATCCATTATCTCACTGACAGATCTCAATTAAGGAAAACACTTGAAATATATGTTACAGTAATTCCTATTTTAGGAATAATCAAGCTATGTGATGACATTCATTTTTGAACATGCTCACTAATTTAGAATTTATAATACCTAAAATTGTATTACTAATAGCTAAAATTGTATTACTATGATCAAATGGTATTTAGGTTAAATACATTGTGAGAATTCTGTAATGTCATACCATGCAATAATTAAATTTAGTCTACTTTAAGATGCTGTAAGACTTTGGGAAATTCCAGCAATATATTTTTACAAAGGAAACTATAGAATTTATCCCATAGTTAACAGGAATCAGAAAGATATGCATAAATTGTACATACATACAGACTCCTGCACAGAGAAGACCCTCTTCCATTCTACACGATATTTTCCTTACTATGTTGCTTGACTTTCTCCTTCTTTTTATTTTTTTCTAGATAAACTTTTCCTTCTTATTTTCCCTCCATCTATTCCCATCATTTTCTCCTCTGCATCTCTTTTTCTCTTTCCCTACTACTGGGTACAAACTTTGAATTCCTCTAATTTTTTAATGCAGAACATTTCAGTCCTCAGCCCTCCTTTTTCATGCTCCTTTTCTTCAAGAGCTTTGCCTTTTATCTACATACAATCTGCCAGATGATTTTCTCCCCCAACAAGTCAACTTATTTTATCTGAACTATGCACCTTTCTAAATATAAAAAGCAGATTAAGTGTCAGGATTTCACAAAACATTTGAAAACATTTTCTTCTATTGTTTTTAGATAAAAGACTATTCAAAGCAAAAGTCACAAAGGGAAAGGGAATTTACTTATAAAGATGTTCAGTGGTGCACACCTGTAGTCCTAGCTACTTGGGAAGCTGAGGCGGGATGATTGCTTGGGCCCAGGAGGTTGAGGTGCAGTGATTGTACCACTGCATTCCAGCCTGGGTGACAGAGTGAGACCGTGTCTCAAAAAAAGAGGTTTGTCACTGTTATTCATAATACAATTTAATTATATGAAATAATTTAAATGTTCTTCACTTAGTAAGCGCATTTTATAGCTTGCCATAAAATGCATATTTACATGATATACTGTTACAACATACATTATGTTGCATATAAATATATATTACAATGTATACTTGCGTGGTATAAGTAAAAGCACATTATTAGTACACATAATATTACAGATATAGATATACACACACATATACACATAAACACATCATTCACACATATGCTGGTTGGGATGGGTAATTCAAACAGACCAATCAACTGGTCTTGAATGAGACCTGGGAGTTTCTAAACTTTTTAGTATTTGATGTGTAACCCAGATTATTATTATCATCAGCCAAGCTAGACAAACATTAAATTAGTTTGGTAAAGTTAACTTGTATCTAATATGTAAATGAGGTTAACTGTTCTGAGAGATGTAGTTTCCAAATTTGGGGGAGGGGTGAGGTGGGCTATTTTAAATTACAGGGGACAGAGGATTTGACTTAGGAAGTGACTTAGAGCAAAGTTATCACATTGGGTACTTGCAGACACAAAGAAAATGATACTGTGAAGTGAAAAATTATACAGAATAGGTTAATATGTACCAACGTTTCACATATTTTATTTTATTCTTTTTGCTTATATTATTCCCCTTTTGTCCTCTGTTGTCTGTAATGTCCGGATTTCAAACCAGTACTGCAAGATTTATAAACTGATCCCATTTTGGTTTAAATAATCTACTGTGGGATATCTTGGTATCTTATATACAATCATAAAAGTATTCTACGTAAGTATATCCTAAAGTTTGAAGAGTTCTATCAACATTTGAAGCACAGCTTTTTAAAGTTGATACCAACTAAAACTGTATTTTTACTTTATAATTTATTTTACTATGATTTTTTTCCTTTTAAAATTTGGGAATATCCAAATACATCCGTTCAGTACATCCAGTTCTTTAGCATTCAACATGTGTGTGTGTGTGTGTGTGTGTGTGTGTGTATATATATATATATAATATATATATATATGCTCTTAATCACAAGTGTCATAAATGACATGATATGTAACAGTATTTCCTTGTCATTTCTCTGATAGGCAGGGAAGTTATTTGAGTTTAATGTCTGTTTAAATTTTACATTTCCCCAAGGGATGTAATGGCTGATTGTAAGGCAGAATGACTAAATTAGAAAGAGTGTAACATAATGTCATAAAATCTAGTGGAAATTTTCAAATTTGGACTTTCCACATAAAAGCAAAGTAAGCTCAAAAAGCCAAGTGTCTTAGGATTTGTCGACAACCTGTTAAATGAGCTTAACCCTTCTCTGAAGAAAATGTAAAGTGATCTGTATTCAATTTAAATTTCTATATCATGATTCTACACCAAGAAAGACAAAATCATGATTTCAATTTTTTTAATCAATCTTTATGCCAGTTTATATTAAATAATTAACTTCAACCAAGCAATATAATTCATTTAACCAAGCAGTGTAATTCCTTGTGTTTTCTCCTAAGGCAATAGGCAAGTAGGCAAATATGACTTTACAAATGTTCTTTGTAACACTGGTTATAATAAAAACAGAAATGTTATAGAATAGCTCACTAGTTCTAATAGCTTACTTTAAACCCCACTTGTATTTAATTTTTGATATAATGTACTATAAAATAATTCTGTGTGCACATTTATTGGTTCCCCCAAATAGTAGACAATTATTTAAAACCCTATGATGATTCCATTTCTAGGTTTTGCTGATTTTTTAGTTGTAACATTGTATCTCACTTCAATACTTAGTAACCTCCAGTTTATTACCCTCTCTTTTACTATTACTATAGGAATAAAGCCAGTATCTGCTTTTTATACTTTTTTAACATTAGATGTTATTTATATAGTTTTAAAAGGAGAATCATGGATTGTTTGATCAAAAACTTCCTTATGTTTTAAACTTGAAAAATTTCCTTCTTAAGTCTTCATTTGTAACAATCATTGACTTTTTTCACCAGTTACCAGCACAGAATGCTCCTGCTTCTTACATTGGTTTTCGTAGAAAGAACTCTGTGAAATAAATATATTTTATTTGGAGTATACTCTTGAGAATTCCCTTCATTGTCCTCTATTCTCTCTCTTACTCTCTATTCTATCTTCTTTCTCTCTATATAGAAAGAGATAAGCATATATACATTTTATACATTTGTATACATATAAAATGCCCTTTGTGTCACTCATTTCTGTTTTTCCTTAGTGTTTAATTCATATCTGTCTTTCGTGCTAGTGAAAACAGAAACATTTAGTTCAAAATCAGTAAGTTACTTTCAGTAGTTTAATGGTACTCATTTCTGTGATAATATCTGCTTCTGAGTATTATTTCCTCTACAGATTAGATGTCTTGTTCTGACATACTTGTTCTTTTTAATACATTTTTTGTTAACTTTATTAAAAGAGAAAACTCTTCAGTTTATTTGTGAATTCTCAATTGAGCTCCTTTAATTTTTTTTTTTTTTTTACTTTTCATTTTAAGTTCAGGGGTACATGTGCAGGTTTGTTACATAGATAAACTTGTGTCATGAGGGTTTGTTGTACAGATTATTTTATCACCCAGGCATTAAGCCCAGTACCTATTATTTTTCCTGATTCTCTCCCTCCCTCACCTTCACCATCCAATATGCTCCAGTATGTGTTGTTCCCCTTTATGTGTCCATGTGTTCTCATCATTTAGCTCCCACTTATAAGTGAGGACATTTGGTATTTGGTTTTCTATTTGTGCATTAGCTTGCTAAAAAAAAAAAGGTCTCCAGCTCCATCTATGTCCCTGCAAGAGACACTATCTGGTTCTTTCTTATAGCTGCATAGTAATGCATGGTGTATATGTACCACATTTTCGTTATCCAGCCTACCATTGATGGGCAGTTACGTTGATTCTATGTCTGCGCTATTGTGAATAGTGCCGCAAGGAATAAACACGTACATATGTCTTTATAATAAAATGATTTATATTCTTTTGGGTTTATAACCAGTAATGGGATTTCTGGGTCAAATGGTATTTCTTTATTTAGGTCTTTAAGGAATTGCCACACTGTCTTCCACAATGGTTGAACTAATTTACACTCCTACCAACACTGTATAAGTCTTCCTTTTTCTCGACAACCTCAACAGCTTATTATCTTTTGACTTCTTAGTAATAATTATTCTGACTGGTGTTAGATGGTATCTTATTGTGGTTTTTATTTGCATTTCTCTAATGATAAGTGATATTCAGCTTTTTTTCATATGTTTGTTGGCCATATGTGTCTTCTTTGGAAAAGGGTCTGTTCATGTACTTCGAACACTTTTTAATAGAGTATTTTTTTTCTTGTAGGGAAGAAACAGGGACATAGATGGAGCCATTATCCTTATCAAGCTAATGCAGAAATTTGTTTAAATTCCTTATAGACGCTGGATATTAGACCTTTGTCAGATGCGTAGTTTGCAAAAATTTTCTACCATTCTGTAGGTTGTCTGTTCGTTCTGTTGATAGCCTCTTTTGCTGTGCAGAAGCTCTTTAGTTTGATTAGATCCCATTTGTCAATTTCTGCTTTTATTGTAATTACTTTTGGCATCTTTGTCATAAAATCTTTGCCCATGTATTCTAAATGGTATTGCTTAGGTTGTCTTCCCAGATTTTTATGATTTTGGGTTATACATTTAAGTTTTAATCCATCTTGAGTTAATTTTTGTATAAGATGTAAGGGAGGGGATCAGTTTCAATCTTCTGCATATGGCTTGCCAGTTATCCCAGCACCACTTATTAAATAGGAAATTTTTCCCCATTGCTTGTTTTTGTCAGATTTGCCAACGATCAGATAGTTGTAGGTGTGCAGTGTTATTTCTGGGTTTTCTGTTCTGTTCCATTGGCCTATGTGTCTGTTCTTGTACCAGTACCATGCTGTTTTGATTACTGTAGTCCTTTAGTATAGTTTGGAGTCAGGTAGCATGTTGCCTCCAGCTGCATGCTTTTTGCTTAGGATTGCCTTGGCTATTTAGGCTCTTTTTTGGTTCCCTAGGAATTTTAAACTAGTTTTCCTTAGTTCCATGAAGAATGTGGATGGTAATTTAATAGGAATAGCACTGAAACTATAAATTGCTTTGGGTAGTATGTCTATTTTTATGATATTGATTCTTCCTATCCATGAGCATGGAATGTTTTTCCATTTGTTTGGGTTTCCTCTGACTTCTTTGAGCAGTGTTTTGTAGTTTTCCTTGTAGAGATCTTTCACCTCCCTTGTTAGCTGTACTTCTAGGTATTTTATTCTTTTTTTGGCAGTTGTGAATGGGAGTTCATTCCTGATTTAGCTCTTGGCTTGAATGTTATTGGTATATAGAGATGTACATTAATTGTACATTAATTTTGTATCCTGAAACTGCTGAAATTGTTTATCAACTTTAGAATCTTTTGGGTGGAGACTATGGGGTTTTCTAGATATAGGATCATGTCATCTGCAAATTGGGATAGTTTGACTCCCGCTCTTCCTATTTGAATGTCCTTTATTTCTTTCTCTTGCTTGAGTGCCGCAGCCAGGGCTTCCAATACTATTTTGAATAGGAGTTGTGAGAGATGGCATCCTTGTTTTGTGTCAGTTTTCAAGGGGAATGCTTTCAGCTTTTGTCCATTCAGTATTATGTTGGCTGTGTGTCAATTGTATATGGCTCTTATTATTCTCAACTCCTAGTTTATTGAGAGTTTTTAACATGAAGAGATGTTGAATTTTATCAAAAATATTTTCCTTATCTATTGAGATAATCATGTGGTTTTTGTCTTTAGTTGTCTTTATGTCATGAATCACATTTATTGATTTGCATATGCTGAACCAACCTTGCATCCTGGAGATAAAACCTACTTGGTCGTGGTGGATAAGGTTTACCAGTATTTTGTTAAGAATTTTTGCATCGAGTTTCATCAGGGATATTGGCCTGCAGCTTTGTTTTCCGCTGTATCTCTGCCAGGTTTTGGTATCGGGATGATGCTGGCCTCATAGAATGAGTTAGGGAGGGGTCCCTCCTTCTCAATTGTTTTGGAATAGTTTCTGTAGAAATGGTACCAGCTCTTCTTTGTACATCTGGTAGAATTCAGCTGTGAATCTATCTAGTCCTGAGCTCTTTTTGGTTGGTAGGCTATTTATTACTGCCTCAATTTCAGAGCTTGTTATTGGTCTGTTCAGGGATTCATTTTCTTCCTAATTCAGTCTTGGGAGGGTATATGTGTCCTGAAATTTATCCATTTCTCCTAGACTTTCTAGTTTATATGCATAGAGGTGTTTGTAATATTCTCTGATGGTCGTTTGTATGTCTATGGGGTCAGTGGTAATATCCCCCTTATCATTTCTGACTGTGTTTATTTGAATCATCTATTTTTCTTCTTTATGAATCTAGCTATTGGTCTATTTTATTAATTTTTTTCAGAAAACCAGCTCCTGAATTCGTTGATCTGTTGAATGGTTTTTCATGTCTCTATCGCCTTCAGTTCAGCTCTGATTTTGGTTATTTCTTCTCTTCTGGTAGCTTTGGGATTGGTTTGCTCTTGGTTCTCTAGTTCTTTCAGTTGTGATGTTAGGTTGTTAATTTGAGGTCTTTCTAACTTTTTGTTGTGGGCATTTAGTGCTATAAATTTTCCTCTTAACCCTGCCTTAGCTGCATCCCAGAAATTCTGGTATGTTGTATCTTTGTTCTCATTAGTTTCAAACAAATTCTTGATTTTTTCCTTAATTTCATCATTTACCCAAAAGTCTTGAGGAAAAGGTTATTCAGTCTCCATGTAATTGTATGGTTTTGAGTGAATTTCTTTGTCTTGATTTCTAATTTGATTGTGCTGTGGTCCAAGAGTCTGTTATCGATTTCAGTTCTTTTGCATTTGCTGAGGAGTGTTTTACTTCTGATTATATAATCAACTTTAGAGAATGTGCCATGTGGTAGTAAGGATGTGTATTCTGTTGCATTTGGGTGCAGAGTTCTGTAGAAGTCTTTAGGTCTATTTGTTCCAGTGCTAAGTTCAGGTCCTGAATATCTTTGTTACTTTTCTGCCTCGATGATTCATCTAATAATATCAGTGCAGTTTTGAAATCTCCCACTATTATTGTGGTCTCCTTGGAGGTCTCTAAGAACTTGCTTTATGAATCTGGGTGCTCTTGTGTTTGGTGCATATATATTTAGGATAGTTACATCTTCTTGTTGAATTGAACCCTTTACCATTATATAATGCTTTTCTTTGTCTTTTTTGATCTTTGTTGGAAACACAATTCTTACAAATTTTAACTCAATAACCATTCCTCCATATAATTAAAAAATCACAGCAATTTAGAATTTACATGACAATACGGTACAAATCATGTAGCTTCTCTACTTTATTTTCTCTATCTGTAAAATGAGATAGAGATTTAGAAATTTCCTTTTAAAGTGTCTTTAATAAATACAGTGATACTTTACATATTTTATTTGTACCTGCCTCAATTACACTGGGTCAGTTAATTGAAAGGACTCACAAGACTCCACAGGATAAGATGGAATAAAGTCTTTAAGGAAGGTAAAGTATACACTCAACAGGAGAAACAAGGAGCAGAAAGTCACAGAGATGTATCAAACTTACAGCTGCAGCCCTTCAGGATCCTTCTCAGCCACAAAGGACTTGCTTCACATTCAGATTCTGAAATGCTCAGATCAGTGTGAGGTAGATCAGTTTCCAGGAAGTCCAACCACAGAACTACAGAGCAATCAGTTTTTCCTACATATCACACAGCTAAAGACAGGCTGGGAAACCATTTAAACCAAATACAGAACATTTATTTATATATCCCAAAGAACGTAGACAAGCTATTAATAGTAGAGGATTTCTCTAGTGGTGTTTCCAGCTTTAAAACGGATATGATAATCACTATCTATTGCATCTACACTTCATTTTTTTTCTGACCAAGGATCAGTACCAGACTTCCAGGTATCCCTGGAAATAAGGATAAGTTTCGCTATTCCAAGTGAAAAATAACACTATTCTTACACAGGGTCTCCCTGCCACCCTACCTTGCCAGTCTCACATGTTTTTGTTATTGTGTGAGTACTAAAAATCTTTGTGGTAAGAGATATTTCACATATAGTTTTTGGTTTAGGGAAATACAAAAAGAGAGAAGGACGTTATTAGATGATATCATAAATGGAACATAATGACCAGAGTGACTCACAGGATAACATGTAGATTTCCTTGGTTTACCATTAAAAATGGGATGGAAAGATGTAGGGATGGCATAAATATCTTCTTTCCTCTACTTAATTCTTGATAAAAAAGTAATAAGGAAATAATAAGAAATTTCCAGTGTTTATTTATATATCAACAAAAATTTTATTCCCAAACTGAGATTACCTTAGTGAGCAAATGAAGGAGAGATAAAATTTTTGAATCAGTAATGGAGACTGGTTAAACTGATGAGGAAAGATCTTAATACCCTTCCCCCATATATATGTAGATAGGTAGGACCAAGCAGAAACTAATATGTACTTAGCTGAATTTGAATCCCAGAAAAGAGAATTCCAGGTTGCCTTATAAGAAGAAGGGCCTAAACGGAAGAGCTGTGAGCAAATTTTAAATCTAGGAAGCTCGTGGGGGTTTTTGCTTCTGGATGTTTTTGAGCTTAGGCCCTAATGCTTATACTGGGAGAAAAATCCAATAGGCCTGCTTTGGTGTACTTGGGAGGTAATTTGAGTTACTTGCAAAAAACTGAACATCAAAAATCAAATAAAAGCTACTAGTCTCCAGTTTGAAGAAAGATATTATTTTTTGTTGAGTGGAATAAAAAACATAAATTTGCACCTAAGTTGCATTATAGAGAACTGAGAACATGAAAAATAAAAAAAAATTGTTAAAGAGGCAAGAAACAAGAGATAGGCTATAAGGAAAAATCATTGGATTCTTGGCAGATTCATTACCAACAAAATAAATAATAAAAATATCAGAATTATATTTTGAGGATGCTGAAGGTAAACATCTCCCAGAATTTTCTACTTATGATTCAAATATAAGAACAAAATGAAGGTATTCCCTGGCCTAGACCGAGGAGGATTACATTTCACAAACCTTCATTAGAGGAACACTTAATTATAAATATCATCAAAATAGAAATTAATCTTAGAAGAAAGAGGAGAATGCAACAAAAATAATGTGCAAAACATTGTCAAACACATTTGTAAATCTTAAGTACAGGCCCACCTGTGACATTAGGAGGGTATAGAGTGGGAGTAGAGATAGAAACCTAGACATCATATCTCTAAATATTTAAAAATTATATATTATGGTAACAAACTATTAAATAAAATCTGACTTAATCTGTTCCCCTGAAAAAGGTCCTTCACAATTGTCTAGACCCCTGGGCCATTTAGAACTGAATAATTTAAGGGTATACATTTTCCTCTTAGTAACACATCAATCATGTTCCATTATTAATGCTTAAAGAAATTAGGGCCCATGAAGGGGCAAGGGATAACAAAAAGGAATAAAGTAAGACATGTGCAAGTTAGAATTATATGGGGCACTAAAGAAAATTCCTTCTGAATGTCTTAGATGTGTAAGGGGGAGAAATTTTAAACATTCATTTATTATAGTCATTGATATGTTTTGTCTAATGTCTATCTAACATTGTAATTGGCAACTGATATGTTTGGTTTTATATCTGTTACTAGAGTCAAAGTTTTCTATTTCTATTTTATTATTGTTTTACTTTTATTCTACCATTCTGCTTTTCTTAGACATAGAAAAAATCAAGGCTATATAATAATCAGTAGGTACGGCTTTTCTTCAAGTAAGACAAGACCTTCTTCTTCAACTTGACTATTGCCCATCCCTTCCCTTAAATCTTCTGCAACTTTATTTTCACATTGCTAATAAATGTTTTCCATTGTGTTTCTTCTATTTCAGAAATCTCCATTTGAAAGAAAACATATACAATCATAATAGCGACAATTATCTTATATTAATTATACATTTTATTAGTAGATATTAATTCATTTTTCTTGTATTCTGTGGCTCTGGTGTTTGGTATTACTTTGTATTTTGTTGGCATATACTGCTGCAATTATTTTGTTCAGAAATGGTTTCTAGGTTTATGTGAATAACATAATTTCTGAATTTGCATATTTTAAAAATGTGTAACAGTATTTAAAAATAGGTCTGTTGATTCTAAAAATAAGATTTTAAAATCCTTTCCTTCAGATTTTTGTGATCATTATTCTATAGATTCATATGTGCAAGTGTATGGAAATCTGATCCTACTGATTTGTAGGTTATCCCTGTTTTCTTTCTGGAGGTTTGGAGAATTTTCCTCTTGATTCTTAGTATTCTTAAATTTCATTAAGATCGTTTAGTAAGAAATACTCTTCCCCAGTTTTTTCGCTAAATGTAGAGTGGCCCGTTTTTTTGTTGTTGTTGTTGTTTTTGTTTTTAGACATCAGTATTTGTTCAAGGATATTTGCTTCTCTTTTTCTCTCTAAAGACGCTACTTCCACTGTGTTCAGTATCAGGCTTGAAATTTTACACTTGCCTCAAGAATTCTTCTCTGTCCATCTTCCAGTTCACAAACTCAGACTTCAGCTACATGTATTATGCATTCTATTAATTATTATTACTTTTGAAACTTTGATAATTATGTATTTAATTCTCAGAAACTTCTTACAGTAATCTGTTCTTGTTTTATGTATGTGTTTTTTTAGAGCTCTTTTAAATTGTATAATACAAATTTTGAGTTTTCTTTTGTTTTCTTTATGACTTTCATATCCTTTGGGATTACCTTCCCACCCCCTTTTATTTTTCAGCTTTTTAATTCTTAAATGTTCGGTATTGTTTTCTGATGGAATGAACTGTTCAAGGTCACACTGCTACTAAATAAAACTGGTATTTTGACAAAAGGGTTTTTAATTTCAAAACCCATTATTTT
Organism: Homo sapiens; assembly: GCF_000001405.40. Taxonomy (NCBI): domain Eukaryota; kingdom Metazoa; phylum Chordata; class Mammalia; order Primates; family Hominidae; genus Homo; species Homo sapiens. The sequence goes on along the minus strand of NC_000002.12, from coordinate 155,777,273 downwards.
TTATAGTAACCTATTCAGTTTTTTTATTATGTCATAGAAGCCACAATTATCTCTAAATGAATGCTTCATATTTACCTAATAACAAAGCAATATAGCATAGAGGTAAAGAGGACAGACTCAGGAATCAGATAGCCTGGATTTAAAACCTGCACTTTCTATTGGTGTGACCTGGTACAAGTTAGTTAACTTTGTATATTTAAATTTCTCCATTTCTAAAATTGAGGTAATAATATCTGCCAAATATAGTGTTGAAATGGGATTAACTGAGTTAATGCATATACAAAACAATGTAATGGTTTCTATTGGTAAGTACTAGAAAAATGTTAACATATATGTTACAGTCATCTAGTATATTTTATAAAGGAAGATGAAGTCAGAAATTAGATCTTCATAAAATAAGATTTATTAAAACATATAATTACAAGAAATTTAGATTATAATGGGAAAATATTTTTAAAGTCATATAAAAATGGAGTTTTTTGTGTGTCAGATAGAAGGAGAAAAAGCCTTCAGGTGTGATGAAAGAAGAGTCAGCCATTGAGAATAGAGTAAATGCAAGCTGAAGTGAAGACATCAGTGCAAAGACTAAGTCCCTGGGAGAACAGAGACAAGTAGGGACCAACTGAATATGTATAGGGAATACCCATGAAATTATAGTGTAGCATCCTCTGAGAGGTCAAAAAGAAAAAGAGAGAAAATAAAGCTAAATGGAAATGTAAAACTAGAGCCTAAGAAAATAAAAGTAAAGCACACTGGAAAATACATTATCTTTTTTTTTAATGGGTGAGTAATTCTTATTTATTTTATTTTTTAAATTATACTTTAAGTTCTTGGATACATGTTCAGAACGTGCAGGTTTGTTACATAGGTATACATGTGCCATGGTGGTTTGCTGCATCCATCAACCCATCATTTACATTAGGTATTTCTCCTAATGCTATCCCTCCCCTAACCCCCTACCCTCTGACAGGCCCCTGTGTGTGATGTTCCCTTCCCTGTGTCCATGTTTTCTCATTGTTAAACTCCCACTTATGAGTGAGAACATACGGTGTTTGGTTTTCTGTTCTTGTGTTAGTTTGCTGAGAATGATGGTTTCCAGCTTCATCCATGTCCCTCCACAGATCAGGAACTCATCCTTTTTTGTGGCTGCATAGTATTCCAAAACTTTTGAGTTCTGTGCTAGAGACATAGATTTGGCAATGGTCAATATTTAGAATCTATATTTCAGTTGAGACTTGAAGCCACTGATACAAATGGTGTGCTTGAAGTATATGTAGAGTGAAAGGAAAACTTGAAAAAGAAAAGCTTCATTTATACCAAGAGATGGCATAAGTATTCAAGACAAGTTTGGGAATACCCAGGTATTTGCTACCACTGGAATACCAGTGCTATCTTGGATGGCATTATAAGGTGGATGATTCACTACTCCAACTTTTCTGTTTGTACAATTGCTTCTTCTGAATAAATAAATGTAAAACAATATTTACATGTTGTAATTTCATTTACCTAAACAGCCTGAATTTATTTATGGATGGATACAAGTATTTGTTGCGATGTAGGAAAACTCTAAGACTAATGAAATGAGAAGAGAAGGCAGCTGCATGAAGAAAGCACAATAAAATTGTCTTTTATATATATATGTAAAGTGTTGGGAACATTTACAGAATAATTGTTGCATGTTTTCAACAGAACACTGAGAGTTTACATATTTTCTGAATGTCCCAGGTAAGAAGTAATGTTGCCAAAAATATCTTGCTCAGTCTTTGAAAATTCATTAAAATTGTCTTAATTTCAGTGAAGTTTGGGGAAAGCAAAGCCATCTTTAATTCTCCAAATGACATGCTTTCTGGAATATTTTGTGGCACGGTTATATTCTGAGGTCATATTCAAAGAGGACTAGGAAAATATAACTTCAGTCTCTGCCTTATCAAAGCACGTAAAATGCTTAGGGACTTCAAACTTGACCTTTGCTTGGGCAAACTCACCTGAGAGCAGAAGAACAGGTGAAGAGACTGTAAACTATGTTATCAACAACCATTTTATATTAAATCTTGTCCCTGAAGAGACTCAGGAACTGAAGATGTCCACATTACTATAGTTGTGCAATATTTATAATTTTCCATCAAATGTGTGATAGCTGTGTGTAGATTACTGTGATCACCGAAGGCTGTGAGTCATAGAGGTGGGGGAGAACTTTGAAGCCAGAAAGTTTTGGGGTCAAATTCCATTTGCTACTTAACTGTTGATGCGACCAAGACCAAATTACTTAGCTTCTATAAGACTCAGTGGCTTCATGTGTATCAAAAATATAATAAAACTCACCTTACAGTATTGTGAATTTTAAGTAAGCATTCATACCAAAGTTGAACAGCTGAAATTAGAAATTTTAAATACAGTATCATTTACATTAGCACCCTCCAAAATGAAATACTTAGGAATTCCACAAATACATATACAGAATAAGTACAAAATATATATGAAGAAAATTGCAACACTCTGATGAAAGGTATTAAAGAAGAACAAAATAAATTAAGAGATGTTTCATGTTCATGGATAGGAAGACTCAGTATTACTAACATGTCCATGGATTTAATGCAATCACAATCAAAATCCTAGCAAAATATTTTGAACATGTTGACAAATTGATTCTAAGGTTTATATGAAGAGGAGAAAAGCCCAGAATAGGCAACACAATATTGAATGAGAAAAGTAGTCAAAGGACTGACACTATCAAACCTTAAAACTTACTGTAAAGCTACAGTAATCAAGACAGTATGGTAGTGGGCAGAAGAATACACAAATAGATCCATGGAACAGGATAGATAGCTCAGAAACAGACCTACGCAAATAAGGTAAACTGATCTTTGATAAGAAACAAAGGCAAAGAAACAAAGAAAAGGTAGTTTTTTCAACAAATGGTGCTTGGAACAACTGGATACAGTATCTACATGATAAAAAACGAATCTAGATACAGACCTTATACCCTTTACAAAAGTTAACTCTAAAGGGATTTTACACATAAATGTAAACTGTAAAACTCTTAGACTATAACATAGGAGAAAATCTCCTATGCAAAAATGCAGAAAAATAAAGTGTGAAGTGTTTGTAGGTGGAGAGACTGAGAATTCTTTGCTATTTGTATTTGCTATTGTATTGAATGACATTTTAGATGCAACATCAAAGGTCATATCCATGAGTTTGAGTGATAATTATGTGTCCGTGTATGCCTGCTGATTGTAACAAATTTACCACTCTGTGTAAGATATTGGTAGTGGACAAGGCCGTGCTTCTCTGTGTACAGGGGTCATATGGGAACTCTGTGTACTTTCTGCTCTATTTTGCTATAAACCTAAAATTGCTCTGAATTTTTTGAAAAAGGTAATATCTAGGTGAAAAAAATGAACATAGGAATATAGAGTGGAGAAACAAAAATGAAGCAATGGAAAATAAATGTGTCTATCAAATAATGAAATAATTGAATCTTTCTTTATACTCTCCTCATATCCAGTATCCTGAAAGAGAATTCTCTATTTTTAAAGATTTAATTTTATTTTAGATTCAGTGGGTACATGTGCATGTTTGTTACATGGATATATCACATACTGGTGGGAATTGGGCTTCTAGCGTACCCATCACCCGAAGAGTAAATATTGTTCCTAATAAATAACTTTTCGTCCCTTGTCTCCCTGTTTTGGAGTCTCCAGTATTTATTATTCCATCTTATGTCCATGTGTAACCATTGTTTAGCCTCCACTTACAAGTGCAAACATGCAATATTTGGCTTTCTATTTCTGAGTTACTTCACTTAGGACAATGTCCTCCAGCTCCATCTATGTTACTGCAAAAGACATGATTTCATTCTTCTAATGGCTGCGTAGTATTCCATGGTGTAAGTATACCACATAGAAACTTTTCTTTCTAAAGAAACAATAATTTTAAGCTCTTTACATCATTAGCAGAAAATATTATGGTATATTTGTTATAATTCTTCAAACTTAGATCCCAGAGAGTATAAATGGGATTTTTTACTTTGTCTTCATTTTTTTTTAAACAATTATTGTCTTCCAAGGAAGAAAGCAGGTTTTAGCTACAGTCTTTATTTGCACATTATTGACATAAAGTACATTTAAACATAATTATTGTGAATACATTTGCAATATTTTTGATTTCATGTAAGAATGGAAGATAGCCAGTCTTGGAAGGCAGAAATGCCATGATTTTAGTGGAAACAGATACAAACTGGAAAACTCCTGCTTTGTTCTTGCTGCATTAAATTTTCAGAGTGAAGTATCACCTTTTAAGGAGTATATCAAACTCTATCTACCTTCCAGGTTTGATACTTCCTACTTACCTTCTGGACCATTTGCCTACTGAAGATTCTTAGGCGTCACTGGCAATCTCGTCTCCTAATGCTTGTGGCTGAGTATGGCTTTCCTAGTGTCTACCTGTAGGGGACAGCTAACTAACTTAAAATAGGCAGGGAATTTTCGTCAGTGAGAGACAGAAGGCAACAAGGAACCAGCAATGGTTGTTCTAAGGCATGATGGCTCCATATGGCCAGTCCAGTGGTACCTGGTGTTGTTGAGCATTCAGCTACGTGTCATTACGAGGCCTGACTGGCTTAGTGGAGTACCACCTTAGGATAGCGTTTCCTCTTTCTCTGTTTTAATCTCCTTTTACCCATACTCTTGTTGCCCTGGGATTGCAAATCTTTTTCATCCTCTTGCTCCACAAAAATATGTTAGCATATAAACTTTGCCTCAAACTAAAGGAGCCTGGACAAGACAAGTCATATATTTTCAGTGGGTGAGAACATTTAACTTACTGATATAAATATTAAATATGTACCATGAATTGCTAGTTCTGTTATGTATCATTACATATCTGTTACATATCTTTAAAGGCCTCTGCAGCCAACAGTGTCTGAAAATGTTGGGTAAACAAGTTTAGTTAAGTTTGTTGTTGTTGTGATTTTTCTTTTTTCCTTAGAGCATCCACTGAGACTAGTATATCCAGAACACTTCATGAAAATTAATATTTAAAGAAGATAAATGGTAGAAAATTCAAACCCCAGAGGATCCAGGGAAGTAATGTAAATAAGCAAAACAACCTGGTAGCAGACTGTGCTAAGTGGAGTGTGCTCTCCCCACCTCGACAGGAGCGTCTTCAGTGGAGGGTGGTATGTGTGAGTGTAGGTCTTTTGTGGCTGCACCTACCAATTTTTTGGATTAAAGCAAAACATCTAGATCTGTTTAAAAAATATAAAATTTCCCAACGTTAAAAGTATTGGCACCTAATTCTAGTTCTTAAAAGTCATTGCATGATCCAAAGAAAGCAAGTCTGTGATCCGGGCCAGAACCAGTGATTTGTAACAATGGTTACACTATCCTTAGGGTATGCTGATCAATTGACCATGTTCTAGGCACCAAAAAGTAAAGGAAAAAAAAAAAAAGAAACAAAGAAATGTGCCTACCTTCAAGGATCTCACAACATATTTTGGGAAAGAAGTCATAGCACATACATTTCAATTTGTGCAGTTTCATTTAACAGCAATGTATTTAGGATCCAGTATAAAACAGGCAATGAATACTACCTTTGATAAACTCCCAGTATGGTAGAGGTGAAGGGTCCATAAACGTGACAATGTAGTAGTTTGAAGTTTACACTAATTTTAGCCTATACCATATGCTATAAGATACACAAGAAAAAAAGTCTTGACCTCTGTAAACATATAACATTTTATAAATAATCTAGCCCTCATGCATACGTTTGTATTTATTATAAACTTACATATAAATTAAATTTTATGTAGTTTTGTAGGCCAGCCCATAAACAGTTCTTCATGGGTACCTATTGAGAAACTAAATTTTTTTTCTTGGATTGAACCATCATTGCTAATTGGATTATTCCTATTTGAAAATACCTTTCAGTAGCCTTTAAGAAAATGATGAGAGAATTAGATTTAGCGTGTGGGTTTTTTTAAATCTTTCTATTTTGAGCACTGAAGGAGAAGGAAAAAATAAATTTGTATTAGGAAAAAGGAGACTTTTTAAAATTACACAAATTTCTTTATAATAGGCGAAATACCACCCACCCTTGGTAAATACTTACAAAATACTTTTTGTATGTCTGTAAGAATAATTTTAGGTTATTTGCAATTATGCAAATAACTTTCAAAAGCCTCAAAAAATGAGAATTTTGGGGGACCTAAACCTTAGCCACTAAAGTCATTTGAATTAAAAAATGGCATAATCAGTGGTACTGCAAACAAATTCTTAGATCATGGTTTCACCAATTTGTCTTTTATTCTTGTACTACATTAATAAAGAGGAATGGGGGGATTTATGGAAAAAGTTTAGGATTAAGAGGGACAGTAAATTTAGACATTTATCTTTCACCATTGGAAGTCTCATTCCAGAATCATTCTAAGTCTCAGTTAAGTTCTAACTAAAAGTAAATCTCATCATATTTCATTGCCTGCACAGCTCACATAACTCTGTATTTAAGCATTTACACCAAAGGACTATATTTCCCAAGAGGTCTGGTTCCCATGAAAGTTAGCGTTAGGAATGTTAGCAAGAATTTCTTATCATTTTATGTCTAGTTTGCAGAGGTATGTACAGTGCATTTTAAAATTCATCCCAGAATAGTCATCTGTCTTAAAGAATTTGATGTCCTTGATCAGTCTGAAGACATGATTCTAAAAATGCATCAGTTCTACTTTTTGATGTATTAAACCACTGGTAAGTTGTTTACTCCTTTTTGTTTTTTCATTTTGAAATTGGTATGTTAGACAAACATTTATACTTATGTTTTATACCTAGATATGCTCTTGTATGTAACTGAAGTAAATCCTTAGTTAGGTGGTGTCACTTCACAGGAAGGAATTTTTTTTTTTTTTTTTTTTTTAGATGCAGTCTTGCTCTATCACCCAGACTGGAGTGCAGTGGCACGATCTTGGCTCACTGCAACTTCCACCTCCCAGGCTCAAGCAATCCTCCTTCCTCAGCCTCCCAAGTAGCTGGGATTACAGGCACTTGCGGACTTTTTTGTTTAAGAAGTTGTGTTGAAAACACAATTTCACCACCACATTTTACCAACTTTTACAACCTGAGGAAGTGTAACAAAATGATGGTGATGATGTTGGTGATGATGATGACAACGATGACTGATAATGCTTCCCAAAATTCATTCACATGTGATGTGATAATAATTGAGCAATAACAGAGTTGCATGTAAGTTTTTCAATTACCAGCATAGAATTCATCAAGGTGCCTTCTTATTTTACAAACCAGTTTTGAGGACTTTTACTTTTAGCTCCTATATGTACAGTGCTGGAAAATCATTACTTCTCTCTCTAGAACAAGAAGAAGTCTAAAGAAACAGAATCAATGACTATTTTTGGATCCATCAAAGAATTGAGAACACAAGGAAAATCACTATTTTGAAATCTGAAAAGAGAGATTAGTATACAGAAGCACAGCTGAGATTACATTAGTGGAGCAGAAGCCATCTGAGCCATAAACTGGAAGGGACATATATAGTATTTGTGATAAACTTCTGGATGCGGGGTGTGAGCTAGCCTGAGAGTGGGACGCTCCTGGGCATTCAGTCTTAGAGAGTCTTCACACTTCCATGGGTTTTACCTCCAGGAGCTCCTTCAGGTAGTCATTGTGAAGAGCCAAGAAAAAACATCTTTAGTCATTGGCAGAGAAGGAAAGAAGTGAACACTTGAAATATGCCCAGTGTGTTTTATATAACAAAGGCCTATAATCTAGCGAAGAAGATTTTATCAGAAATTTATCTTACCTATTCTGCGAAAGGGCAATTACCCAACTCTAGTCAAGTCTAGCCTTCCTACCTCACCTCAGAAGGAAGAAAGGGAAACAAACAACAAAACAACATAAGAAACACTTATAAAGGTCACAGCACAGGGATATAGGCCACTAAAAGACTGAGATTTAATCATAACATCATAGAACACCCACACTCAGGGCTCTGGTATAGTAACAGTTGATTAGAGCTGGAGGAGCTGCAAGGTACAGACTGTATTTTAGAAGGAATCCTTAGGGAACTAAAATATAACAAAGAAGGGTAAAACAACAGCCATAGGGGAAATTAGAAAATCTTGACACCTATAACTGTGGCAACCTTCAATCACAGCTCAACTCCCAGCCAGATTAGCAGAAAATCAGAAACTTTATGTAAATCAGAAACTCAGATTTACATAAACAGTGCTGGAGAAAAAGCAAATGAAGGTAAAATATATTTATTATTTTTCTTATTCTTAATTGACTTAGAGAATTGTTCAAAGTAATAATGGTAGCAATGTATTGTGTGATTATAACAGATAAATAAATGAACGAATAACTGCAATGTTCTCTTTAAGAACTGGAAGAAGGAATTGAGTATACTCTGTTATATGTACCTGCACTAGTTGAGAAGTGCTAGTGTTAATTCAAACAAGAATTACATTACTTTTACAATCATATTGCAAACTTTAGGAAACACATTTGTTTTTTTCTTGAGACACGGTCTTGCTCTGTCACTCAGGCTGGAGTGCAGTGGCATGATCGCAGCTCAATGCCACCTTGAACTCCTGGGCTCAAGTGATCCTCCTGCCTTAGCCTCCCAAAGTGCTGAGATTAGAAGTGTGAGCCACCACGCCTGGACAACAATTTTTTAAAGTACAATTGATATGTTAGAAAAGGAGAGAAAAATGGAATTACATAAAATTCTCAATTAAAACCAGAAAAGGCAGGAAAAGGGGTAAAAGGAAGGAAGGAGCAAGTGCAAAAAATTAGAAAATAGTTACAAACATGGTAGATATTAACCCTACTCTATCAATGATTACTTTAAATGTGAATGGTCTAAATACATCAAAGTAAGTTAAAAATCTCTTTTTCACTTGATAGACCAAGCAGGTAGAACATCAGTAAAAATATATATGAAATGACTAGCATCATTAATCAGCTGAATCCAACTGACATTTATAGAATGCTACATCCAGGGACAGCAGAATAATCATTCTTTTTAAGCTTGGAACCTTCACCAGGGTAGACCACATTCTGGGCCATAAAACACACTTTAACAAATTTAAAAGAATAAAAAGTATGCTTTTAGAGCACAATAAAATTAAATTGGAAATCAATAGAATTACATTACATTACATTAAACAACACACTTCTAAATAATGCATAGCTTAACAAAGTCCCCAGGAATTTTATTTTATTTTATTTTATTTTTGAGACAGGGTCTGGCTTTGTCACCCAGGCCGGGGTGAGTTGCATGATCTCAGCTCACTGCAACCTCCACCTGCTGGGCTCAAGCAATCCTGCCACTTTAGCCTCCCAAGTAGCTGGAACTACAGCACATCACCTTGCCCAGCTAATTTTTTTTTTTTTTTTGGTAGTGATGGGGTTTGGCTATGTTGCATAGGCTTGTCTTAAACTCTTTGAGTTCAAGAAATCTGCCCACTTTGGCCTCCCAAAATGCAGGAATTACAACTGTGAGCCATTATTAATGGCCTCAGAGCAAGTTAAGCAAATATTTTTTAATAAATAAATGTGAAATTACAACTTACCAAAATTTGATATAGCCAAAGAAGTACTCGGATGAAAATTTATAGAATTGAGTGAATATTTTTGAAAAGAAATATCTAACATCAATAATCTAAGTTTCTATCATAGAAAACTAGAGAAGGAAGAGAAATCTAAGCTTAAAACATCCACAAGAAAATAAGCAAAACTTGAGTTGGCTGGCAAGGTGGCTGAATGGGAACAGCTCCAGTCTGTAGCTCCCAGTGAGATTGACGCACAAGGTGGGTGATTTCTGCATTTCCAACTGAGGCACCCGGTTCATCTCACTGGGACTGGTTGGACAGTGGATGCAGCTCAAGGAGGGCGAGCCAAAGCAGGGTGGGGTGTCACCTCACCGGGGAAGCACAAGGGGTCAGGGAACTCCCTCTCCCAGCCAAGGGAAGCCATTAGGGACTGTAACATGCTCTCCAGCCCAGACACTGTGCTTTTCTCATGATCTTCGCAACCCACAGATCAGGAGATTCCTTCCAGTGCCTACACCACCAGGGCCCTGGGTTTCCAACACAAAACTGGGTGGCTGTTTGGGCAGGCACCGAGCTAGCCACAGTTTTTTTCCGTACCCCAGTGGCACTTGAAACACCAGTGAGACAGAACCATTTACTCCCCTGGAAAGGGGGCTAAAGACAGGAAGCAAAGTGGTCTGGCTCAGTGGGTCCCACCCCCACAAAGCCCAGCAAGCTAAGATCCACTGGCTTGAAATTCTCACACCAGCACAGCAGTCTGAGATCGACCTGAGACGCTGGAGCTTGGTCGGGGGAGGGGCTGTTGCTGAAGCTCGAGTAGGTGGTTTCACCCTCACAGTGTAAACAAAGCTGCAAGGAAGTTCTAAGTGGTGGACCCCAGCTCAAAAAGGCCATTGCGGTCAGAAGGCCTCCTTTCTGGGCAAGGCCTCTCTGAAAAAAAGGTAGCAGCCCCAGTCAGGGAATTATAGACAAAACCCCCACCTCCATGGGGCAGAGCACCTGGGGGAAGGGGCTGCTGTGGGTGCAGCTTCAGCAGACTTAAACCTCCCTACCTGGCAGCTCTGAAGAGAGCAGCAGATCGACCAGCACAGCATTCAAGCTCTGAAAAGGGACAGACTGCCTCCTCAAGTGGGTCCCTGATGCCCGTGGCTCCTGAGTTGGAGACACCTCTCAGTAGAGGCCAACATACAGGAGAGCTCTGGCTGGCATCTGGCAGGTGCCCCTCTGGGACGAAACTTCCAGAGGAAGGAACAGGCAGCAATCTTTGGTGGTCTTCAGTCTCCTCCAGTGATAGCCAGGCAAACAGGGTCTGGAGCAGACCTCCAGCAAACTCTAGCAGATCTGCAGTAGAGGGGCCTGACTGTTAGAAGGAAAACTAACAAACAGAAAGGAATAGTATCAACATCAACAAAAAGGACGTTCATTCAGATACCCCATCCAAAGGTCACCAGTTTCAAAGACCAAAGGTAGATAAACCCATGAGGATGGGGAGAAACCAGTGCCAAAAGGCTGAAAATTCCAAAAACCAGAATGCTTCTTTTCCTCCAAGGGATCACAACTCCTCGCCAGCAAGGGAACAAAACTGGATGGAGAATGAGTTTGACAGATTAACAGAATTAGGCTTCAGAAGGTGGGTAATAACAAACTCCTTTGAGATAAAGGGGCATATTCTAACCCAATGCAAGGAAGCTAAGAACCTTGAAAAAAGGTTAGGGGAATTGCTAACTGGAATAATCAGTTTAGAGAAGAACAAAAATGACCTGATGGAGCTGAAAAACACAGCAGGAGAACTTTGTGAAGCATACAAAAGTATCAATAGCTGAATCAATCAAGTGGAAGAAAGGATATCAGAGATGGAAGACCTACTCAATGAAATAAAGCAAGAAAACAAGATTAGAGAAAAAAGAGTGAAAAGAAATGAACAAAGACTCCAAGAAGTATGGGACTATGTGAAAAAACCAAACCTATGTTTGGTGTACCTGAAAGTGATAGGGAGAATGGAGCCAAGCTGGAAAACACTCTTCAGGATATTACTTCCCCAACTTAGCAAGGCAGGCCAACATTCAAATTCAGGAAATACAGAGAACACCACAAAGATATTCCTCGAGAATAGCAACCCCAAGACACATAATCATCAAATTCACCAAGGTTGAAATGAAGGAAAAAATGTTAAGGGCAGCCAGAGAGAAAGGTCAGGTTACCCACAAAAAGAAGCCCATCAGACTAAGAGCAGAACTCTCAGCAGAAAGCCTACAAGCCAGAAGAGAGTGGCAGCAAATATTCAACATTCTTAAAGAAAAGAATTTTCAACCCAGAATTTCATATCCAGCCAAACTAAGCTTCATAAGCAAAGGAGAAATAAAATACTTTACAGACAAGCAAATGCTGAGAGATTATTTTCACCACCAGGTTTGCCCTACAAGAGTTCCTGAAGGAAGCACTAAACATGGAAAGGAACAGACAGTACCAGCCACTGCAAAAACATACCAAATTGTAAAGACCATCAATGCTATGAAGAAACTGCATCAACTAATGAGTAAAATAACAAGTTAGAATCACAATGGCAGGATCAAATTCACACACAAATTTATTAACCTTAAATGTAAATGGACTAAATGCGCATATTAAAATATACAGACTGGCAAATTGGATAAAGAGTCAAGACCCATTGGTGTGCTGTACTCAGGAGACCCATCTCATGTGCAGAGACACACTTTGGCTCAAAATAAAGGAATGGAGGAATATTTACCTAGCAAATGGAAAGCCAAAAGAAAGCAGGGGTTGCAATCCTAGTCTCTGATAAAACAGACTTTAAACCAACAAACTCAAAAAAGACAAAGAAGGTCATTACAAAATGGTAAAGGGATAAATGTAACAAGAAGAGCTAACTATCTTAAATATATATGCACCCAATTCAGGAGCACCCAAATTCATAAAACAAGTTCTTAGAGAGCTACAAAGAGACTTAGACTCCCACACAATAACAGTGGGAGATTTTAACACCCTACTGTCAATATTAGACAAATCAATGAGACAGAAAATTAACAAGGATATCCAGGACTTGAACTCAGCTCTGCACCAGGCAGACCTAATACACATCTACAGAATTCTCCACCCCAAATCAATGGAATATAGATTCTTCTCAGCACCACATCGCACTTATTCTAAAATTGGCCACAGAATTGGAAGTAAAACACTTCTCAGCAAATGCAAAAGAACGGAAATCATAACAGTCTCTCAGACAGTGAAATCAAATTAGAACTCAGGATTAAGAAACTCACTCAAAACTGCACAACTACAAGGAAACTGAACAACCTGCTACTGAAAGACTACTGGGTAAATAACAAAATTAAGGCAGAAATAAAGATGTTCTTTGGGACCAATGAGAACAAAGACACACGTACCAGAATCTCTGAGACACATTTAAAGCAGTATGTAGAGGGAAATTTATAGCACTAAATGCCCACAAGAGAAAGCAGGAAAGATCTAAAATCAACACCCTAACATCACAATTAAAATAACTACAGAAGCAAGAGCAAACAAATTCAAAAGCTAGCAGAATACAAGAAATAACTCAGATTAGAGCAGAACTGAAGAAGATAGAGACATGAAAAACCCTTCAAAAAATCTATGAATCAAGGAGGTATTTTTTGAAAAGATCAATAAATAGATAGACCACTAGCCAGACTAATTAAGAAGAAAAGACAGAAGAATCAAATAGATGCAATAAAAATGATAAAAAGGATATCACCACCAATCCCCTAGAAATACAAACTACTCTCAGATAATACTATAAATACTTCTATTCAAATAAAGTAGAAAATCTAGAAGAAATGGATAAATTCCTGGACACATACACCATCCCAAGACTAAACCAGGAAGAAGTCAAATCCCTGAGTAGACCAATAACAAGTCTGAAATTGAGGCAGCAATTAATAGCCTACCAACCAAAAAATGTCCAGGACCAGATGGATTCACAGCCAAATTCTACCACAGGTACAAGGAGGAGCTGGTACCATTCCTTCTGAAAGTATTCCAAACAATAGAAAAAGAGAAACTCCTCCCTAACTCATTTTATGAGGCCAGCATCATCCTGATACCAAAACCTTGCAGAGATACAACAAAAAAAGAAAATTTCAGAATAATATCCCTGATGAACATTGATGCAAAATACTCAATAAAATACTGGCAAACCGAAGCCAACAGCACATCAAAAAGCTTATGCACCATAATCAAGTTGGCTTCATCCCTGGGATGCAAGGCTGGTTCAATGTATGCAAATCAATAAATGTAATCCATCACATAAACAGAATGAAGTGATTCATTTCATCCACTAACTTTCAAGTCAACATCACAGCCTCAGCTTTTTATGCCAAACACCTCCTTCCATTCATATTCTGTTATAGTAGATACTGTGTTCCAGGGAAAAAAGTAAATAGCTCAATTTATGTGCCATATGAAACCTTACAGATTCTCAGTGTCACATCTCCTGTTATCTTTTATTGAGATATCCTCATAGAGCACAAGCATGGAATAGTAAGAAGATCCTTGGATTTTACATACATTCATATTCACTCTTTGTGTTGTAAAGTTCTATAGGTTTTGACAAATGCTTAATGTCATGTATATTAGTGAAAGCCAGGGAAAAAAGGGTTAGAAGAGAATAACTGCAAATTAAAACAAGAAAAGACATGACAAGTATTTTTTTAAGCATTTAGGTTAGCAAAATTTGAAACTATAACAGAATTTGGGGTTCATGGCCTTTACAAATAAAAATAATCAATAGCAAATAATGCATATTCTGTGTTTGAGAATATAACAGGAGCAAAATTACTAAAACTAGTCTCAAATTTTGTTCTTTGTCACTGTTGCAACTAGAAGCAAACATTACTGATGCCTAGTGAATAAGTGATAGCTGGCAGTTCATCCAGAATTGTTCACTTGCAATCGGTAGGCACAATGCTGTATGTGGCAGCTCTTCATTTAGGTTAATTTACTGTAACTCACGTGTATTAATATCCTAGTAAGCTCCCTGTTGTCCCATTTCTGGCAGTGTGTGTGTCTCTTCTTCTCTGTATGGGATTCCCTTGTGAAATATTTGGGAACTCTATCATGGAAAGCATCGAGAAGAGACTGCTGTTTGGAGGAGTAGTTTTTTCTATGATTGAGTAAGTAATCTGTTGAAACATGATAAAAACATGTAGTTTGGATAAATTGTCTCAATATTAATTGAAAACATTATATTGGTATTTTTATTGAAAAGAAAACCATTGAGTGAATATAATATCACTTGCTTTTCTTACTATATTTTATTCCCAAATTTTACAGATGTTTATTATGTTCATATGAGGTATAAGCCACGGTGGTATATATTTAGCAATCCAATTTGATTGTAAGAAATTCTCTTTTCACCAGTATAATGAAACAGATACATCCTCCTAAAAACAGCTATGAATGTCTGATAAACTCTACAGTTTTCTATTTATTTGTTAATTTATTTTCATTAGGATTACTCATGGATTTATATTTTGTGCAATGTATTCCATAAATATCATTGTTTATTTTTGGTTCCCAGTGTATATTACATTTGTTCAGTGAGACTGTCTTAAATCTGGAATTTATGTCTTTTTGATGTGTCTCCATCATTCTTTGAGTATTTTGTTATTGAACACAGTAGAAGATATTTCAGGCTCATTTATTAACTTTCATATCTCAAGCTTGGAGTCAGCTTTTTCTTCATAAAGCCCTGGCAAACTTTAATGGAAAATGGTATTTAGAAACCAAGATCAGTGTACTAGGTGTGCTCATTTTCTACCTGTCATTGCTCCTAGGCCCTCTTTCTTAGTGGGCAGAGAAACGGAGTATGACATACGTCATATCATTTCTTCATCTATTTGTTTATGTCTATCTGTCTTAAAAACTATGAGTTCATATTGATATTTCAAATTCCCAAATGTAAGAAACTGGGATTTCATTATTTTCAAAATTTTTATTCATTTGTTCAAGCCTATAACACACAGAAAGTAGTTTCAAAATTACTAAAATATTACTACAAAAAAGAAATTTGATATTTATTTACTATTCTATCTTTTATTTGGATAAAATTTACAAAGTATGAAATGCATTAATGAAGGCTTTAACTCAATTTTGTCAAAAGCTAACAGCCATGTAATCCCCATCCCTATTAATATATAGAGCATTTTTATTACTTCAGAGAATTTTTTCATGCTCCTTTCCAGTTGTTCTCTTTTCTAAAAACTTTAAGTTTAGGGGTACAATTGCAGGTTTATTACATAGATAAACTTGTGTCATGGTGTTTTTTTTTTTTAAATTATACTTTAAGTTCTGGGGTACATGTGCAGAATGTGCAGTTTTGTTACATAGGTATACACGTACCATGATGGTTTGCTGCACCCATCAACCCGTCACCTACATTAGGTATTTCTCCCCATGCTATCGCTCCCCTAGCTCCCTTTCCCCCAACAGGCCCAGTGTGTGATGTGTCCCCACCCTGTGTCCACGTGTTCTCATTGTTCAACTCCCACTTGTGAGTGAGAACATGCGGTATTTGGTTTTCTGTTCTTGTGTTAGTTTGCTGAGAATGACGGTTTCCAGTGTCATCCATGTCCCTTCAAAGGACATTAACTCATCAACAAAATACTGAACAGACCGCTCTTTCAGTACTTTAAATGTTTCATTTTACTGCCTCCTGGCCTGTCTGGTTTATCCATAGTTATATAAAACAATGTGGACCATTAACATGCCATTTTTCGCTGGATGCTTCCAATAATTTTTCTTCATCTGTGGGTTTTAGTGTTTTGAATCCACTGTGTCTAGGAATGGCTTTCCTTGAGTTTATTCTGTTTAAGATGGCTGAGCTTGTTAAATTTATAAATTTATGTCTTTCACCAAATTTGAAAAGGTTTTGGTCACCATTTCATCAAATATACTTTCCACACTAATCTCTTGCCTCTCTTTCTGGGACAAATGCTATTATTTTTTGATGTTTTATAAGTTTCAGAGACTGTTATTTTTCAAGTTTTTCTGTCTATTTTTAAGCTTGTATAATTTCTATTGATCTATCTTCAAGTGCATGGACTCTTTATTCTGTCATCTTGATCCAATCAAGTGAATGCGTTTTAAATTCATTTATTATTAATATATTTTTGTACCAAAATTTATATTTTTAATACAGGTTTTGTCAGAAGAGTACTTAAATTTTTCTGTTCATTTCAAGTGTTTTCCTTTACCTCAAGAAGCATTGTTATAATAGGTGCTTTAAAGTTGTTAACTAATAATTTCAACCTTTAAGCCATCTTGAAATCGACATTACTTTTACCATTTGGAATTTGTCACATTGTTCTAGTTCTTAGTATGTCAAGTAATTTTGGATGTATCTATGAAATTTTGAAAAGTATATTGTGGGGTTATTGCTGCTGTTAATACTCACTTCAAAGTTAATTTTTGTTTGTTTTTGCAGACAATAAGCTTGGTTAGGTTTGATCAGTCTTGTATGTCAACTTCTGTGGGCAATGGTTCTAATATAAGTTCAATTTTCACAGCTTTTTCTAAATGACTGAGCTCTATATTGCCCATGTTCCTTTTAGTGGTTAGTCTTGGATTTGGGCTGCAGTTGACTTTATAGTTAGTTCTCAGCATGTTCTGTGTTGTTTTGGTTTTATCTTGCGCAAGTTCCATTTGGGGATTAGCCCAAGAGTTTTATGAGTTAATATGCACATTTAGCGCATCGTTTTCTCCGGATCACTTAATGTAGATTTTCTCTATGTTACACTTTCCAGTTCTTGGTTCTCTGGCTAGAAAAATAGGTTTTATTCTCAGAAACTTTGTTTCTCACTATGACTGAGCTTCACTCTCTTGGGATCACCCTCAGGACTAAGCAACAAGATAAAAAAGCATAAAAAGTTAATAAAGACTTCCTTCAGCATTTTAACCACAAGTTCTTCTTTTCCTATTCTCTCTCACCAGAAAAATAAATGTCCTGTCAAGGCATTCCTTCAATGACATCTTGTCACACAAGTCTATATCCAAGGCTGCCCACAAAGTGGAAAAATGGGGAAAATGTGAGTTCTCTCAAATCCTTGGTTTATTTTTGTTTGATAACTCTTACTAAGATTTTTACAAATTGTATATTTTCAAAAAACAGATATTTGTCTTTGTTAATTTTCTTAAATATTTTTCTTTCAAAGTGTTCTGTTCTTATTTTCGTTATAGCATAAATGTTCTTTATGCATCTCTAAAATTTTGATATGATGTATTTTATTATGATTCACTTCAAAATATTTTTAAATTTTCTTTATAATTTTTCTTTGACTTACATGTTTATTCTAGTGTATGTTGATTAATTTCCTTATTTGGAATATATCTCAATATAATATTGCCTTTTTAAAAATTACTTTTTTATCTTATGGCAATATTGTCATCTTTGCATTTTATGTTTACATATTTTCTAATGTTCTTTAAAAATAATTGGTTTTATAATAAGAACTGTATATATTTAAGGTGTACATGTGATGATTTGATATATGTATACATTATATAATGATTAGCACATGAAATTAACACACATCTATCACTACCCATGGTGAAAATTAGATCCCCAGAACTTTTTCATCTTATAACTGAAAGTTTGTATCCTTAAACTAACATCTTCCCATTTCCCTCACACTCCAGTCCCAGGCAACTACCATACTATTCTCTGCTTCTATAAGTGTAAGTTTTAATTTTTATTATTAATTTTTTAACAGTGTCTCACCTTGTCACCCTTGCTGGAGTGTAGTGGTGTGATCATGGCTTACTGCAACCTTATCTCCTGGGATTGATTGATCTTTCCACGCCTCCTGAGTGGCTGGGACTACAGATGTGCACCACCATGCACCACTATTTTTTTTTTTTTTTTTGTATTTTTCTGTAGAGATGAGGTTTTGCCGTGTTGCCCAGGCTGGTCTTGAACTCCTGGAATCAAGCAATCTACTCACTTCAGCTTCCCAAAGTGCTGGCATTATAAGTGTCAGCCACTGTGCCTGGCTCGAGTTTAACTTTTACAGAACTTACATCTACATAGATGTGAGAGCATGCAGTATTTGTTTTTCTGTGTCCAGATTATTTCACTTAACAGAATGTGATCTAGGTTCATCCATGTTGAAACAGAACAGACTCATAATAATTGCTTCAAATTCATTGTTAAATTTTACATCTGGGTAATCTCTAGGTTAGTTTCTATTCATCTCTTTTTTATTAAAATTCTCATGTATATTATTTTCATGTCAAGTAATTTTTGAGTAATTACTGAGCATTTTTATAACATAGAATCTCTTTTTCCTATGCCCTCTGCATATAAGGATGATGTTAAAAATAGCTAAATTTCTGATCTCCAGCCTCTTTTTGTTGTTCCCAATTTGATTAGATTTAGGTTATATAATCATGTTCTTTTGAAATGACCTTATATTCCTCATTGATATAGAGTCCCATCAAAATCAAGCAAAAAGAAAATACAAATGGAAAGAAAGCATTTTCAGAATTAATTTATTATATAACATTTATAAAAACTTTGATTTAACTAATGCTTAGTGTGCAGACAAAAATTTAATTTACTGTTTTGTTTTTTTGTTTTTAGTAAAATACTCACTTAAAGTATGGTTATATCTTCTTTTAAGGTATTAAGAATTTTCTTAACTAAGTATAAGAACAAAATTTGCTACAAAACTATAAGAAATTTTATATCAAATTTTTGTTTGTCAAGCAGAATAAAACCATTGACCCCAAAAAATTATTAGTAGAATTTACCGATAAATAATAAATAGCAAGAGATGAAGATTTACCAATGACAAGAAGCCTAGAAGATATTTTTTATATGAAACATTATATGGTAAATATAAAACAGATAAAGTAATTTTTTAAAGTCTTGAATATTAAGAAATAAAGTAAATAGCAATAAAGAATTACTAATTGGGTTTAAATGAATATAGTCCCCCTTTAATATTTTGTTATGACTTTTGTAATTTTTCATCAGTGTTATTTTTATAAATACTCATCTGAAAATTCAGAAGAAACAGACAAGATGATATTTTGTTATTGTCCACCTCTGCCTTAAAGTTAAGCATAATGTCATACTAATTTAAATGAATATAACAAATATCTTAGTGCTTTGAAAATGGCCAGAATTAGTTGTACATATTTTTATTCATTTGTTTTAATTTATAAACTGCAACCCATGGCCTCTGAGTTCATGTGCATGCTAAAATTATCAGAAAACAAATTATAAATAGTAATCAGTGACCTCTTTCTTAGCCACTGAACTTTACCAATGGCCTGACCCAAGATCCCAGGCCTGAAGGCCAATCAACTTGTCAGTTCATAAGGCAAAGAAAATTTTAAATACAATCCCCTACATGAGGAATTGCCAAGCAATAGTTTGATAAAGCTGAGTGAGATTCACTGGCTGCTGTCTGTAGTAGCCAGATAGCAAATTTTAACTGTGAAGTATAGAAGCAAAATTTGCCACAGTGATCTTATAGAAACTATTATTAGTTCATGTATTTAATTCATTTTTTCTAAATCAATTTACACCAATAAATACAATTGAATAATTTAGAATGTCTGTCCTGAAAATAAGTTTATTTCAAGAAATATGATTTCATTTTTAAAAAGGTCTTCATGTTGACAAAATTAACCCAATAGCAGTTGGCCTGAAACCTATAATAAAGCTTTAATTTCTTAGCTTTTACATGTTCCACATTTCAATATAGTGACTAGATTTCTGAAAACAAAGCAGTTACTTAAAATTATGAAATGAAAGGAAATACTTGCTTTCACGTGTAATGTTTGATAATTGCAGCTATTTTATTTTCTTCCTACTTTCATCCATGTGGTTAAGATCTTTATAAAACTTTAATGTCATTTAAAAAGTGAAGGACTTGCTCATCTAAGGCCCCACTCTCAAGAATTATTGAGAAAAAATGTGATATGAGATGAGGTGGTGGGTGGTGGTAGTGAGAGAAAGAAAGGCCAGCAAGAGAGAGACTCAGAAAAAAATGTTCTTGAAAATTATTCAAGTACAAAGTAGGATCTCCTGAATTCAATCAAAGCAACCTAGAAAATAGGAAAAATTCGACAAAAACCCAAGGTTTAAGAAGAGTACTATAAGTATTCGGAATGTGTACTACATGCAAGAAGAAATTTTGGCTTGTATCAAAGTCGGAATTTTTTGGACTAGGCAATGAAGATAGTCTATCCTAAGACAACCACGAAAAATAAACAATGTAGAAAGAACTATCAGCAGCATATTTAGTAATATCATACCAAAGTGTTCAGAAAAACTTTGCTTTGATTTGACATCAAAGGCAGGGAAAAAATGTTAGTATCCAGTTCCAATTTCTATTAGAAATTAAGATACTTCATTAAGATTTTAGTGCAATTAACCCATCTGGGAGCACCACATAGCACTCTCTTTTCACCTGGTTTTATTTTCCACTCAATTATAAGTCAGTTTGATTGCTACTAATTACTTTAGTCAAGTGGATTGTTGTTTTTGGAATGTATTATATCTGCAGGGAAGTTTGACAATTTCTATATATTTAATTTTTGTGTGTATAATATAGTTTCTCTTTTCCCAAAATTGAGATTTTATTCCTCCAGTTTATTTTTTAAAAATTGAAGCATGGGTAATACAGAATACAAACTGAGACACTTTGAATCTACTTTAAGTTTGGTCATATTGCTTATTAGTAAGATCATAAGGAAGCAAACATTAATAAATTATCGAACAGGCCAATATGTCTGAATGTAACTGTTTAAAAGCATTAAAAGAGAGATATTCTCTTTATTGCAGAAACAATAAATCAAAAAATTTAAACTGAACATGAAGACTTTATTAAATTCCAAAGATGAGGAAGCTACAATTTTTCCCATACTATACCTCATAAATTTGACTTAAACTACAGAGATCATTTGGTAGCAATATCCTTAATGGTAAATTCTAATTGTCAACATTAAAGTGAAAGAAAAAAAGGTGCTGAGGTAAGCAAAGTGTAGCATTCTTGTTTCAGTATATAGTTTTCTTCTGTAAATGTAGGAAGAATTTCTATATTGGCATAATAACCTCTATCAAGAATCATTGTTCAGCTCCAAGTGTCATTAGAAAGGTTATAAATTTAACCTTTCCAATTTTGGCAAATGGAAAAATTTGGGACCTTAGGCTAGGATACTCAGGTATTCAACTTAATTCATAAGAAATAAATGTTTAGCAAGCAGGGTGTAGAACCATCTATTCAGAGAAAATGATTCCAAATACATTTACTTACAATACTTATTCTTATTGGAGACTAGTTTCAAAACTGAGCAGAGGGCTATTTCTTGAGAATTATACCTAGTAATACAATTCAAAGATATTTCTCTTCACAAAAAAACCACACAATTATTTCCTGTAGTTGATATATACAGAAACTAGTTATGCATTTAATTTATTTTTTCTAGATCCAGTTACACCAATAAATATAATTGAATAATTTAGAATGTCTATCCTGAAAATAAGTTCATTTCAAGAAATATGGTTTTATTTATAAAAAAGTCTTCATGTTGACAAAATTAACCTAAAAGCACTTGGCCTGAAACCCATAATGAATTTCTAATTTATCTTCACAAAAAACCACACAGACAAATATTTCCTGTAATCTATATATTTATTATAAGATAATAGCAATTATAATAATAATATTGAATCTGAATACAACACTGAATACACCGAAGCACTGAATGCAACACCAATAAGTCTATGAATTTAAATTTTTGAATCTCCCTAAAGTACTGCTTATCAAATTTAGGCTTCTCCTACCCCAAACATCTCTAATAACATAAAACTAGCATAATAATTAGACGCTAATCTAAAAAATGCTTTGGTTGTGCTGAAAAGTCTAGTAAAGTGAAGGTAGAATACATCCTCTAACAGGATTGGGACCAGAACACCGCATAAGAGGGAACACAGAACAAAATCCCTTCATTTGGAACGAAACTCTATCCACCTACAATGACCTTTATTTTTATTTTATTTTATTTTATTTTATTTTATTTTATTTTATTTATTTTTACAGGTAAATATTTTATAGTGTTTCAGCTTTACTGTCAGGGTCCAACTTTTTTGTTATTTTATTTTACTTTAAGTTGTGGGATACATGTGCAGAACGTGCAGTTTTGTTACATAGGTAAACATATGCCATGGTGGTTTGCTACACTGTCAAACCATCACCTAGGTATTAAGCCTTGCATGCATTAGCTATTTGTCCTGATGTTCTCCCTACCCCACTCACCGACATGCCCCAGTGTGTGTTGTTCCTCTCCCTGTGTCCATGTGTTCTCGTTGTTAAACTCCCACTTATGAGTGAGTACATGTGGTGTTTGGTTTTCTGTTCCTGGGTAAGTTTGCTAAGGGTGATGGCTTCCAGCTTCATCCATGTCCCTGCAAAGGACATGATCTTGTTCTTTGTTATGGCTGCATAGTATTCCACAGTAGGTATATACCACATTTTCTTTATCAGGTCTATCATTGATGGGCTTTTTGGTTGATTCCATGTCTTTGCTATTGTGAATAGTGCTGCAATAAACATACATGTGCATGTGTCTTTATAATAGAATGATTTTTATTCCTTCTGGGAAAATACCCAGTAGTGGGATTGCTGGGTCAAATGGTATTTCCAGTTATAGATCCGTGAGGAATCACCACACTGTCTTCCACAATGGTTGAACTAATTTACGTTCCCAACAACAGAGTAAATGCGTTCCTATTTCTCCACAGTCACAACAACATTTGTTGTTTCTTGACTGTTGAATAATCTCTATTATGACATTGAGATTGTATCTCAATGTGGTTTTGATTAGCATTTTTCTAATGATCAGTGATGTTGATCTTTTTTTCACATGTTTGTTGGCCACATGAATGTCTTCTTTTGAGAAGTGTCTGTTCATGTCCCTTGCCCACTTTTTTATGGGGTTGTTTTATTCTTGTAAATTTGTTTTAAGTTTCCTGTAAATTCTGGATATTAGACTTTCATCAGGTGGGTAGATTGCAAAAATTTTCTCCCATTCTGTAGGTTGCCTGTTCGCTCTGATGATGGTTTCTTTTGCTGTGCAGAAGCTCTTTAGTTTAATTAGATCCCATTTGTCAATTTTGGCTTTTGTTGCAATTGCTTTTGGCAATTTCATCATGAAATCTTTGCCCATGCCTATGTCCTGAATGGTATTGCCTAGATTTTCTTCTGGGGTTTTTATGGTTTTGGGTTTTACAATTAAGTCTTTAATCCATCTTGAGTTAATTTTTGTATAAGGTGTAAGGAAGAGGTTCAGTTTCAGTTTTCTGCACATGGCTAGCCAATTTTCCCAGAACCATTTATTAAGTAGGAAACCCTTTCCCCATTGCTATTTTTTGTCAGATTTGTTGAAGATCAGGTGGTTGTAGATGTGTGGTCTTATTTCTGAGATCTCTATTCTCTTCCCTTGGTTTATGTGTGTGTGTTTGTACCAGTACCATGCTATTTTGGTTACTGCAGCCTTGTAGCATAGTTTGAAATCAGTTAGCATGATGCCTCCAGCTTTGCTCTTTTTGCTTAGGGTTATCTTGGCTGTATGGGCTCCTTTTATGTTCAGTATGAATTTTAAAGTAGTTTTTTCTTTTTCTTCTTTTTTTTATTATACTTTAAGTTCTATGGTACATGGGCACAATGTGCAGGTTTGTAACATATGTGTACATGTGCCGTGTTGGTTTGCTGCACCCATTAACTTGTCGTTTACATTAGGTATTTCTCCTAATGCTATCCCTCCCCCACCCCCCCACCCCATGACAGGCCCTAATTCTGTGAAGAATGTCAATGGTAGTTTGATGAGAATAGCATTGAATCTATACATTACTTTGGGCAGTATGGCCATTTTCACGATATTGATTCTTCCCATCCATGAGGATGGAATGTTTTTCCATTTGTTTTTGTCCTCTCTTATTTTCCTGAGCAGTTTGTAGTTCTCCTTGAAGAGGTCCTTCACATCCCTTATTAGTTGTATTCCTAGGTATTTCATTCTCTTTCTTGCCATAGTGAATGGAAGTTTATTCATGATTTGGCTCTCTGCTTGTCTATTGTTGGTGTACAGGAATCCTTCTAATTTTGGCACATTGATTTTGTATGCTGAGACTTTGCTGAAGTTACTTATCAGCTTGAGGAGATTTTGGGCTCAGATGATGGGGTTTTCTAGATATCAGATCATGTCATCTGCAAACAGAGACAATTTGACTTCCTCCCTTCTTATTTGAATACTTTTATTTCTTTCTCTTGCCCCATTCCCCTGGCCAGAACTTCCAATACTATGTTGAATAGCAGTGGTAAGAGGAGGGATCCTTGTCTTGTGCTGGTTTTCAAAGAGAATGCTTCCAGCTTTTGCCCATTCAGTATGGTATTTGCTGTGAATTTGTCATAAATAGCCCTTACTATTTTTAAATATGTTCCATCAATATCTAGTTTATTGAGAATTTTTAACATGAAGGGACGTTGAATTTATCAAAGGTCTTTTCTACATCTATTGAGATAATCATGTGGTTTCTCTCATTGGTTCTGTTTACATGATGGATTATGTTTATTGTTTTGTGTATGTTGAACCAGCCTTGCATCGCAGAGATGAAGCAGACTTGATTATGGTGGATACGTTTTTGATGGGCTGCTGGATTTGGTTTGCCAGTATTGTATTGAGAATTTTTGTATCAATGTTCAACAGGGATATTGGCTTGAAGTTTTCTCTTTTCATTGTGTTTCTGCCAGGTTTTGGTTATCAGGATGATGCTGACCTCATAAAATGAGTTAGGGAGAAGTCCTTCCTTTTCAAGTGTTGGAATAATTTCAGAAGGAATGGTACCAGCTCTTCTTTGTACCTCTGGTAGAATTTGGCTGTGAATCTGTCTGATCCTGGGCTGTTTTTGGTTCATACACTATTTATTACTGCCCCAACTTCGGAAGTTGTTATTGGTCTATTCAAGGATGCGATCTCTTTCGGTTTAGTCTTGGGAGCATGTATGTGTCCCGGAATTTATCTGTTTCTTCTAGATTTTCAAGTTTATTTGCATAGAGGTGTTTATAGTATTTTCTTATGGTGGTTTGTATTTGTGTGGGGTCAGTGGTGATAATTGTGCCTATTTGATTCTTCTCTCTTTTCTTCTTTATTAGTCTAGATACTGGTCTATCCCGTTAATTTTTTCAAAAAAACTCCTCCAGGATTCATTGATTTTTTGAAGGATTTCTAGTATCTGTA
Organism: Homo sapiens; assembly: GCF_000001405.40. Lineage (NCBI taxonomy): Eukaryota > Metazoa > Chordata > Mammalia > Primates > Hominidae > Homo > Homo sapiens. Next base: position 155,751,412 of record NC_000002.12, on the reverse strand, counting down.
TCGCCTTCAGTTCCACTCTAATCTTAGTTATTTCTTGTCTTCTGCTAGCTTTTAGATGTATTTGCTCTTGTTCCTCTAGTTCTTTTAGTTGTGATGTTAAGGTGTTGATTGGAGATCTTTGTAGTTTCGTGATGTGGACATTTAGTGTTAAAAATTTCCCTCTTAACAATGCTTTATCTGCATCCTAGACATTCTGGTACATTGTCTCTTTCTTCTCATTGGTTTCAAAGAACTTTTTAATTTCTGCCTTAATTTCATTATTTACCCAGGAGTCATTCAGGAGCAGGTTGTTAAATTTGCAGGTAGTTGTGTGGTTTTGAGTGAGTTTCTTAATTTCGAGTTCTAATTCAATTGCACTGTGGCCTGAGAGACTGTTTGTTATGATTTCCATTCTTTTGCATTTTTGCTGAGGAGCGTTTTACTTCCAATTATGTGATTGACTTTAGAGTAAGTGCCATGTGGCACTGAGAAGAATGTGTATTCTGTTGTTTGGGTGGGGAGTTCTGTAGATATCTATCAGGTCTACTGGATCCAGAGTTGAGTTCAAGTCCTGAATATCATTGTTAATTTCCTGTCTCAATGTTCTATCTAATATTGACAGTTGGGTGTTAAAATCTCTTACTATTATTGTGTGAGAGTATAAATCTCTTTGTAGATCTCTAAGAACTTGCTTTATGAATCTGGGTGCTCCTATATTGGGTGCATATATATTTAACAATAGTTAGCTCTTCTTGTTGAATTATCTCTTTACCATTATGTAATCATCTTCTTTGTCTTTTTTGATCTTTGTTGGTTTAAAATCTGTTTTGTCTGAGACTAGGATTGCAACCCCTACTTTTTTCTGCTTTCCATTTGCTTGGTAAATTTTCCTCCATCCCTTTATTTTGAGCCTATGTGTGTCTTTGCGTGTGAGATGGGTCTCTTGAATATAGCACACTGCTGGGTATTGACTCTTTATCCAATTTTCCAGTCCATGTCTTTTAATTGGGGCATATAGCCCATTTACACTTAAGGTTAATATTGTTATGTATGAATTTGATTCAGTCATGATGATGTTAGCTGATTATTTTGCACACTAGTTGATGTATTTTCTTCATAGTGTCATTGGTCTTTATATTTCAGTGTGTTTTTGCAGTGGCTGGCACTGGTTTTTCCTTTCCATATTTGGTACTTTCTTCAGGAGCTCTTGCAAGGCAGGCTTGGTGGTGCCGAATTCCCTCAGCATTTGCTTACCTAAGAAGGATTTTATTTCTTCTTCGTTTATGAAGTTTAGTTTGGCCATATATGAAATTCTGGGTTGAAAATTCTTTTATTTAAGGATGTTGAATATTTGCCCCCACTCTCCTCTGGCTTGGAGTGTTTATGCTGAGTGTTTCACTCTTAGTTTGATGGGCTTCCCTTTGTAGATGACCTGGCCTGTCTCTCTGAATGCTCTTACCATTTTTTCCTTCATGTCGACCTTGGAGACTCTGATGATTATGTGTCTTGAGGTTGATCTTCTTGTGGAGTATCTTACTGTAGTTCTCTGTATTTCCTGAATTTCAATGTTGGCCTGTCTTGCTAGGTTGGGGAAGTTCTGGATGAAATCCTGAAGTGTGTTTTCCAACTTAGTTCCATTCTCCCTGCCTCTTTCAGGTACTCCAATCACTTATAGCTTTGGTTTTTTATATAGTCCCATAGTTCTCAGAGGTTTTTTTCATTCCTTTTCATTTCTTTCTGTAATCTTGTCTGCCTGCCTTATTTCAGCAAGATAGTCTTCAAGCTCTGATATTCTTTCTTCCACTCGGTCGATTCAACTATTGATACTTGTTTTTGCTTCAAGAAGTTCTCGTGCTATGTTTTTCAGCTCCATCAGGTACTTTATGTTCTTCTCTAAACTGGTTAGTCTAGTTAGCAGCTCCTGTAACCTTTTGTCTTGGTTCTTAGCTTCTTCGCATTGGGTTAGAACATGCTCCTTTAAGTCAGCTTTAAGTTTGTTATTACTCACCTTCTGAAGCCTACTTCTGTCAATTTTTCCATCTCATCCTCCATCCAGTTCTGTGCTCCTGCTGAAGAGGTGTTGAGATTATTGAGAGGAGAAGGGACGCTCTGGCCTTTTGGTTTTCAGTGATTTTTGTTGATTCTTTCTCATCTTCATGAGTTTGTCTAGTTTCAATCTTTGAGGCTGCTGACCCTTGGATGAGGTTTTGTGGGGACGTTTTCGTTGATGGTGTTATTGTTGCTCTCTGTTTGTTGATTTTTCTTTCAATAGCCAGGTCTCTCTTCTGTAGGGTTACTACAGTTTTCTGGGGTGTTCATTTCAGACTCTGTTCATCTGGGTTGCTCCCACATCTGGAGATATCACCAGAGGAGGCTGGAAAGCAGCAAAGATGGGCGCCTGCTCCTTCCTCTGGGATCTCTGGCATTGAGGGGCACTGATCTGATGCCAATAGGAATGCTTCTGTATAGGGTGTCTGGTGAACTCTGTTGGGAGGTCTCTCGAGTTAGGGGGCAAGATAACCAGGACCCATTTAATGAAGTACTTTGGCTGACTCTTGGTTGAGGGCGTGTGCTGTGCTGGGAGGAAACCCACTCATCTAGGCTGCCCGGATTCCTCAGAGCTAACAGGAGGAAAGACTAAGTCTGTGCATACGTGGGGACTATGGCCACCCCTCCCACTGGGGGTTTAAGCCCAGGGAGGTCAGAGTTCTGTCCCTGAGCCCCTGGCTGGAGTTGTTGGAGTTCCTGCAGGGAGGCTCCTCCCAGTAGGAGGGATGGGTCAGAGTCCAACCTATAGAGGCAGTCTGACCATGGTCTGCCAATGCTGGTGTGCTATGCTGTGGAGAAGAATACCTGTTGGGACCAAGCTGTTTAGCCTCCTTGGCTCCAGCAGGGGAAAAACATGGCCTGGAGCTGTAGTGATGACTGCCTCCCTTTCTCCTGGGAGCTTACTGTCTTATGTAGCTAGCAGTCGCAGTGATGGCTGCTATCCCTCCCCCAGGGAGCTCAGTTTTCTTAGGCAGCTGGCAGCCACAGTGAAGGCTGCCGTCCCTCTTCCAGGGAGCTCAGAAGCCTTAGACAGATGGCAGCCACAGTAATGACAGCTGCTCCTCCCTCGGGGAGCTCTGTTGTCTTAGGCAGCCACAGTCATGGCTGCTGCCCCTCCCTCAGGCAGCTCAGACGGCTTAGACAGCAGGCAGCAGCAGTGATGATGGCCACCCCTCTCCCCAGGAACTCAGTAGTCTTACCAGATTCCAGCCAAGTGGATGTTGAGAATCTGTGCAGCTCTGTGGTTGGATCAAAAGCCCTGGTGGCATGGGATCTTCTGATCTGTGAGTTGCACAATTCTGTGGTAAAAGCATGGTTCCTCAGGTTGTGTAGCACACTCACTCACCACCTCCCTTGACTGGGGGTGGGGGCTCACCTTCCCCATGTGGCTGTCAGGTGGGCCAATGCACCACCTTGCTTTTCCTTGCCCCTTGTGGATCACGCCAACTGCCTAGTTGATGATAGAACCTGGATACCACGGTTGCTGGCGCAGGATTCCTATGCTGTTTTGGTTCTTCTTGGTGGGAGCCTCCAATTGCAGCTGCTTCTAGTTGGCCATCTTGACTCTGCCTCAACTTTTATGTTTCTTGAAGAAGGAAGTAGAAAGTTTTCTATCAGCAAGACTCAAACTGAAAGTACATACACAGAGTTGGACATCTACTGTTGATTATTACTCAGTCATTACTAATTTGCATCACTCAACTAAGAAACGTCAGTGAACTGAGCCCTGTGTAGAGTTTCATTTTAGTATACAAATAAGTTTTGCATTAGTAGAAGTACTATCTTGTTTTTTTAATTCTATCTGTTTGTACTCAAAAGTACAATCTTTCAAGTACAAACAAGTCAAAAGTACAAATAGATAGGATAAAAAAATGAAATATCACCAGGGTGTTACCTATTCCTTAAAAATTCTACATTGTATATTGTTGTGTAACAGACCACCTCAAAATTTAGAGGCCTAAAACAATAATTTATTATTCCTCACAAATCTGTGGGGTGGCTGTATAGTTCTTTTGCATGATTGACTGTCACTGCAAGGACAGCTGGGATGGAATGTTTAAGGTAACCTCACTAACTGATTTAGAAGTTGATTCTGGTCTTGTTTTCCTTGATGTGGCCTTATAACTGACATGTAAAAATCCATTCTAGCCTTGATTCTCCTGTAGGCTAGAATGGATTTTTACATGCCAGTTATAAGGCAGAATTTCAAAATAGTCAAAGCAGAAGCTGCAAGACCTCTTGAGAACTAGGTTTGGTTATGCACACAATGTGATTCCTACAACATTCTGGTGGTCAAAGCCTAGACAAGATTCAAGGGATTAGAGAATAGACCACACCTTCTGATGGAAAGTGGGTAAAATATAATGACTGTTTTTCAATCCACTACAGAAATGAATATATTATTTTGATGGGAACGTAAGAGATAATGAAACTTTGATTGAATGATGAAGAAAAGAATTGTATGGAATAGTGGGGACAGTTTTTTTTTTTTTTTGCCTGTTTTCTCTTTGATTATTGCTGTTTGCATCACACTTTTTTTCAATAACCCTCTTGGTCTTGTACGTTTTAATATTTAATGCTTTAGCATCTACTATGATTCTAAAACTCTGCCTTGACAATTAATATTAAAAATTAATTCAGGAAAACATGTGTCAAGGAATGTGAATTTATAATATACTTAATGAAAGTTAACATGGATTAAAAGCTTCATTACAATGTCTGATTTCAACTTTGTATACATTTTTAAAGATAATCTGGTTAGGACTAAAATAGACTGAATATTTAAGACTGAAGGAAATCTTTGTCTCTTTTGTTAGAGATAAAGATGCTCTCTCTCTCTTTTGTTAGAGAGAGAGAGAGAGAGATTGAGAGAGAGAGAGAAAGAGATACAGAAAAGAAAAATATGAAACCTCAGAAGTCAGAATGTTATTGAACTTCTCAATAGCAATATTGGAAGCTCACAAAACAATATCTAATCTTTTGTTAGATATTGATGAATTACACTCGCATATATTTATGGGATACGAAATGAAGGGGTTTTTTTTGGATAGAATGTGGAATGTTAAATCAAGCAGATTAACTTATCCACCATCTCTAATATTTGACATTTCTTATGATTAGAACATGTGAGATTTACTCTTCTAGCAATATTGAAAAGTACAGTATTCAATTATTAGCTATATTGCACCAAATTGTGCAATCAATCTTTTAAAAAAAATCAAACTTATTTCTCCTATCTAATTAAGGCTTTATACTCTTTGATTATCATCTATCCATTCCTCCCACCCCCAGCCTCTGGCAACCACCATTCTATTCTGTTCTTCTATGAGTTCAATTATTTTAGATTTTACATATAAGTAAGTAAACACGATATTTGCCTTTGTGTGTTTGGCTTATTTTATTTAGCATAATGTTCTTCAATTCCATCCATGTTGTCATAAATGACAGAATTTATTATTCCATTGTGTATACATGCCACATTTTCTTTATCCACTCATCCATTTAGAGACACATTATGAATAGTGCTGCAATGAACATAGGCATGCAGATGCTTCTTTGATATACTAGTTTCAAATATTTTGAGTAAATACCCAGAAGTGGGATTGTCGGACCATAAAGTAATTATATTTTTAGTTTTTAAGGAACTTTTACACAGTTTTCTGTAATAGCTGTACTAATGTACATTACTACCAATAGTGTACAAGGGTTCCCTATTCCACACATCCCTTGCCAACATTTGTTATATTTTGTCTTTTTGGTAGAAGCCATTCTAGCAAGTATGAGGTAATATCTTATTGTGGTTTTAATTTGTACCTCCTAAATGATTAATATTGTTGAGCATTTTTTTCATATATCTGTTAGCCAATTGTATGTTTTCCTTTGAGAAATGTCTATTCAGGTTTTTTCACTATTTCTTAATCAGGTTGTTGTATTTCTATAGAGTTGATTAAGTTCCTTATATATTTTGGATATTAATTCCTTATCAGATGTATGTCTTGCAAATACTTTCTTTAATTCCACAGGTTTTCTATTCATTTTGTTTATTTTTTTTTGTACTGTAGAACTTTTTATTGTTATGTAATCCCATTTATCTATTTTTACTTTTGTTGCCAGCTCTGATGGGTGTCAAATCGGAAAATTCATTGCCCAGACTAATGTTGTATAGTTTTCCCTCTGTTTTTTTCTAGTAGTTTTACAGTTTTAAGCTTTAGTGATTATGCTTTTAATTCATTTTAAGTTGATTTTTTAATACTGAGATAAAGATCCAATTTAATTTTTTTTGCATATAGATATCCAGTTTTCTCAATAACATTTACTAGGAGACTATCCCATTTCCGGTCTGTATTCTCAGAACTGTTGACAAAGATAAATTGACAATAGTTTAATGGATTTATTTCTGTGCTTTCTGTTCCGTTTCATTGGTCTATGTGTCTTTTTTGTTTGTGATTACCATAATATACCAGAGACTGGGTAATTTATAAAGAAAAAGAGGTTTAATGGACTCATAGTTCCATGTGGCTGGGGATGCCTCGCAATCATGGCAGAAGGCAAAATGCATGGCAGCAGACAAGAAAGAATGAGAGCCATGCAAAAGGGGATACCCCTTATAAAATCATCAGATCTCATGAGACTTATTCACTACCACCAGAATAGTATGGGGAAAGCACTCCCACGATTCAATTATCCCCCAGTGGGTCCCTCCCACAACACGTGAGAATTATGGGAGCTACAATTCAAGGTGAGATTTTTAAGAGGGGACACAGCCAAACCTTATTAGTGGGTGAGTTCCCTTTTCTCCACATCCACACTAGTATTTACTATTTTTTGTCTTTTCAGTAATAACCATCCTAACTTCAGTAAGATGATACCTCAATATTGCTTTGATTTTTATTTTCCTGATGATTTATATTTATATTTGATTTTCATTTTCCTGATGATTGGTGATAGGCCTTTTTGCATATATTAGTTGGCCATTTGTGGGTCTTCTTTTGAGAAAAGCCTGTTCAAATTAATAAATATCTTACCCTTATAATAGTCTATTTTAAGCACATAATAGCCTAATTCTGACTGCATAAAACAACTCTATGCTTTTACTATCACCTCATTTTATATTTTTGGTGTCTAAATTTATGTAATTTTGTAATATATATCACTTGACAATTGATATTAGCTCTAGTTGTTATTTATAATTTTTCCTTTAACCTTCATACTAAGGATATAATTATTTTACACTCCACCATTGCAGTCCTAGGGTACTCTAAATATTCCTCTATATTATATAAACCACTATGTTTGCTGCTTTAGTATATTTTATGTTATTAATTACAGTTTTTTTGTTGTTTATGTTTAAATAACTCCTTTTAACAATCACTAAGGTCTAGCTGTGATTAACTTCCTTAACTTTTATTTGTCTGGAAAAGGTTTTTTTTTTTTTTCTTCTCCTGTGAAATATAGTTTTTCGGAATAAAGTATTCTTGATTGACAGGTTTTGTTTGTTTTTACCTTCAGCATACTGAATATATCAACCCACTCTCTCCAGGTCCGCAGGGTTTCTGCTGAGAAATCTACTGATAGTCATAATGGGATTCCTTTCTTTGTGAGGTATTTCTTCTCTCTTGTTGCTCTCAGAATTGTTTTCTTTGTCTTTGGTTTTTGGTACTTGTTTATTATATGTTTTAGAGAACGCCTCTTTGAACTGAATTTAATTGGTAACCTCTACCTCATGTACCTGGATATTTTTTTCTTTTCTAATATTAGAAACGTTTATTTTACACACCAACATATTTCTTTAAATATGCTTTCTCATCCTTTTTCTCTTACTTTTTTTTTCTGGAATGCCTATTTGCACAGGGTAGGTCTCTTAATGGTGTCCCATAATTTCCATATGGTTTCTTTATTCTTTTTTATTCTTTATGCTCCTCTGATTAAGTAATTTCAAATATCTGTCTTCAAAGTCACTGATTTGTTCTTCAGCTTGATCAAATCCAGCTGTGGCATTTTTCAGCTCAGTCATTGTATTCTTCATCTGTAGGATTTCTATATGATTATATTTATTGTTTCCATTTCTTTGTTAAGCTTCTTATTTTGTGTATGTATTGTTTTCCAAATGCCATTTAATTTTATTTTATTCATGTATTCTTCTACTTCGCTGGACTTTCAAAAAGAGTTATCATTTTTTCCCATTATTTCATAGAGCTTTTTTACTTTAGGGTCCATTGTTTGAACTTCATTAGTTCATTTTGGAGATATCATAATTTCCAGAGTCTTTTTAATTATTGTGTCCTTGCATCAGAGTTTACATTTTTGTGAAAATAGCCATCATTTTTGGCTTTTCCACGAGTTCTTTGGCAGGGACAGACCTTCATTAATTAGTTTAGCCTAAATCCTGGATAGACCACCTGCTAAAGACCATGGGCAGGTAGAGCTTGCTTTGAGATTTTCTAGATAGATGGCTTGCTGCCTTTGCTCTGAATTCAAGTGAGACAGCTAGCTAGGCTCTGCACTTTTGCAAGACTACTGGCTGAACTCTGCTATCAGGCTGAGCTACTTATAGCACTGCAATCGCCCCTGAAACAGCCAGGCCACAGGGTGTATTCCCTGGCCAGAAGATACCAATATTTGAGTTCAGCAGTTGGATAGCATTGCAAGAGGGACCTTGAGGTTAAGTAGATCAGAATGAATGGACGAACTGCTATACTGAGTTGAAATGCACAGCTGAGATTTGCCTTTCTCCCTGGAAGGGCTCTGGGTGTGGGCTTTGAGGCCACTAGGAGTGCTGATAAAATTCCCAGGCCTGGCAGATATAGTGTCTGCTTGTAAAAATTTGCTGTGGAGATATGTTTCCTCCCTGGGTGGGGCCCTGGTATAGGATCTAAGACTAAGCCTGGAGGGTGGCTGCCTAAGAATACGAGACAAGTAGCAGTTCCATCTCTTCTGAGAGTGAGCAGCTGAGCTTTGATCAGCTCTGCTGCTAGCTGTTACCTCTGATTGAGTACCATTGCTAGAAGTACACTGAGCTTTCATAAAAATCTACACATTGGTCTTGGTGGACTCTGCCACGTTTTGTTTCTACCTTGCCACAGGGGTCTAGCCATGCAGTTTCCACTACCTTCCCCATTTCTGGTGAGGTGAGAATGGAGTGGGCTTTCTGGGAAGTGACTTAGAATGGTAGAGTAGCTGGATGTCCACCTCTCCAGTTCTCTTTTTTTCACTGTAGAAACCATGGACCCTGGAGAGTTCTCTCCGTGTGTTGCTGTTCCAACTTGGGGCAGAGCAACATGGTCAGAGTGAGATTATTTATCCTACCCTTTCAATGTGGACTTTTATTGAGTTATGTAGAGCATACAGGTACTGAGGTTTATTCTTTCGTTTTGGAGTTTTCACCAAGGTGTTTTGGCCTGAGTATAGTTGCTAGTTGATGTTTTTGTTGAGGGAAGTAAAGCCTGGCATCTCCTACTCCACCATCTTGGTGATGCCACTCTCCTGCCTCTTTGAATTATAAAAATTACTAAATTATAAACTGCTACATAGCATCTGTATTCATATTCACTTTAACAAATATTACATTAAACAAAATGACTCATGAAGAATTAGACATACATTAACACATGAATCCAATAGTTTTATTATAATGTGAAATACAGTAATTGAATTCCTATACAATAAACTTGTTAGTAGGAATGTAGAGAAAATACTATAATTTGATTTATTATCAGCACATTTGAATTAAAAACATCTAATACTTTGACCCAGTAAAAATTTTCAAGCAAATAATTTTCATTGCCTGCTGTTATGCAATATCCACTTCTGTTAGTGTTAGTGCATAAGCAATGGCTAAGCAACATATTGGCACCATCATGTAATCCTCATAAGTTACAAAGTATTTTGTTCTCAAGAAATAATTATTTCTCAAACAAGTTAAGTAAAAAATATAAAGCCATGCAAATCGTAGAAAAACAAATTAAAAGGTACAATACATTAATGTTAAGGTTAAATTCAAGAAGAATATAGTGAGCAAAAAGAAGACTGTTATATGAGAACAGGTATAACAACAACTAAGTAACTTTACGCACTCAGTAATATAGCAATAAATTATACAAAGCAAGAAAAGAAAAGAGACAGAAAAAATAAAAAGAGAACTGTAAAAAAACCAAAATAGATTTCATAATTCTCCATCTAAAAAACAGGTAACAAAAATAAAAAGGATAAGAATTTAATTACCATAATTAAGTAATAACTAAATAGTATGTATATAAATCATGTACATATATCAAATTATTCACCTCACAAGCAGTATATAAGAAACTTTTTATATATTCACATAGTATTAATTCTAGTAGAGGATGACTTTCTGTTATCAGAGTGAGCCTTTTATAGATAACAATTATAAGCTCAACATAAAATATAAAGAATAACTATGTAAGACACTGAATAGTGACCAAATACGGGCTGAAAAATAAGAAACTAGCCTGGCCCTTGAGAAAAATGCACTATATTTGACAAAACTCACATTTATACAGTTAGTCGTTTTTGTTTGTTTGTTTGTTTTTTTGCTGAGGTTATTCTCCAGTCCCTGCAGTACAGGACCAAAAACTGAAGTGGATGTCACTGTCTTCTGTCCTAAGAAAAAAGAGGATAAACTGTAGTCCCAGCCACTCCGGAGGCTGAGGCAGGAGAATGGCATGAACCCGGGAGGCGGAGCTTGTAATGAGTCGAGATGGCGCCACTGCACTCCAGCCTGGGCGACAGAGCAAGACTCCATCTAAAAAAAAAAAAAAAAAAAAAAAAAAAAGAGGATAAAATTTAGGACTCACTATACGGACGGAAATTGAAGGGAAAAATCTCTGGAAGGTGAAGCCATAAAAGCTGCATATAAACACCACATACATCCTTGTCTGATGTCTAATCTACATATGCATCATGATTTTAAGGCGAATGCCATAGCTGGAAGACTGAAACAACTGAGCAGAGGTTCCAACTTTTTTCAATTAGGTGAGAGTTGAGTTTGAGTTCAGCCAAGTTAACTGCATAACATGTAAGAAATCGATACACTTCAAAAGGAAAGCTTTTCTTAGAATTTTATTCTTGAAAAGCTGAAAGTAACAGCACACAGCAAATAATATACAATCTTCAGAGTATATATGTGACAACATAGATCAATATTTGATGTTGACCCTTGATCAGACAGGACATCCATTACTGAGGATCACTTTTTGCCATGTTCCTTAAGTTTTGTTAAGGATAGCTCTATATGTGTCTTAAATAAATGATATATGTTGATATGACTTGATGCATTTTAAAAATGCACCATAATAAGATTCCTAGTAAAATGTTTAAATAGTGTGGAGGCCAAATTACGTGGTAGTTAAAAAGAAGAGCACTGGTGTTGAATTGTGTCTACTCCAAAATGGGTTCTGGCTCATTCTAACTGTGCACTAACTGTGAGAAGGTTACTTAACTTCTCCAAATCCCAGCTGCCACCTCTGTCAATCCGGACTAATAAGGGAATTGCCATGATACATTGTGGCACGGTAGCTGGCACATATGTCCAATACGTGTTAGTTATTCATGTTAAATGAGATTTAGAATGTTAATAAGCTCACTGCTCACTGTATAAGAGGTATTTTATAAATATTAGTTGAAAATTAGTGTAAGTTGTGTCTCCAGAGATAATTTCTCTCACAAAGGGAGCAATATTTTTGATGAAATTTGGGACTAACTATTAAGTCTGTCAAGTGATCAAACAGCCCATAAACTGCACCATGATGGCAGCTGCTAGGTTTGCTTGTCGCATGCCCATAGGTTGAGCCAGTGAGGAGGCAACAAACCCAAATAAATCCAGAAAGTTTATTATTTACACAGCAGTTTTATAAACTCACACAGAAGCCTGAAGCTGCACCCTCAAAGAGGAGCAAGATAGATGTACATTGCTGAGACTAGGAATAGGGATCACAAATGGTCTTGTGGGAATCTCCTATAAGATATGGATGAGAAACTACATGCAACAGCCATTTACCAGTATGTCTACAGTTGTCCCAGGAGGAATTTCAGGCCATTTCACCAAAGCTTGGGTCAGACCTTGGTCAAACATTGCCTACATGGTCTATGTGATGACAGGCAGGGTCTCCCAGTTACCATGGCAGAGCTGTTTCCTTAAAAAGCCAATTAGATGAACAGAGGAACCAAAAAGTTGGGGATGCTGTTGATCTGTTCCAACCTCCTTAATGGCTTTCCAGGTTAGATAGCCACTGTTACAAAACACAGTATTATGATGACAGTGCTAAGAGGTGTTGTTTTCAAAATGTCAAGAGTAATCCATGAGGATTTTTACATGGTATTTGTTCACTTACAATACATTATAATTTTTCCTGTCCAGGTGGGCTAGTAGTGAGGCAAGAACCAAGATGGGGCTTCTGGGAAAAGTCATAAGGAGTGGTTAATTTAGACAAGCTGTTTCAAGACGAAGGAAAAAACTCATGGTGTGATTTTATCTGGAGTAGGGGCTTCTTTAAACCTTTATTTTTTTACTGGAGAAAGTTTATAGTTCAAGATTCGGATTGCACTGGGGTCTGCTTTTATAATACGTCTTAAATTAAGATATTTTTGTTCCAATATAGTTTATTAGAAAAACTTATGGTTGTAAAATACAATCTTGCTGAGCACAATCCCTCTGCCTATTTCCTTCTAGCAACCTAAAATGACATGGTTATATGGGGGACTCTGGGAAGATCTACACTGAGAACATGAACACGGCAACGTGGGGTACCTCAAAAATTGAGAAAAGGCTCAATAGAGTTGAGTGTCTCCCCTTCTCCTCAAAACATACATTCCATCAATACTAAAATGCTGTAGTTTTCTGACATCCTCACCTCTATGCACTTTTGGGCATGCTGCTCTCTCTGCTCAAAATTACCCTCTCCAATGGCCAATAAATCTGATGAACTCTTATTTATTGTTTAGAATTACCATTGGTCTATAGATGAGTTCTTCCCTCCTATTTTCTCATCAGGTAATGCTCACTTTTTTATGCCTTGGATGTAGTTCTGTTATTATATTTAATTCTACATGTTATTATTTTTCTTTATATATATATCCCTGATAACAAACTGTAATGCCGTTGAGCTCTAGTTCATGGTTCATGGTTTTGCATTCCTGGCATAGAATATATATTCCTCAAACTTTTGTTGAAATGAATTGAGTTGAATTTAATTAAATTGAATAGTTTTTTTTTTTTTTAATAAAACCATCCACACTCTTTCTTCATTTTCCTTCTGACCAATGACAGGTATTTGAGAGATGAACATGTTTAAGGGCACAGTTTTTGAAATGGAGCAGAACAAAGTTAAATGATCCACAAGGAGATCAATGCCTAGAATTAGACCATAGAAGCATAATGCTCAAACCAACAAACACACCTTTTTGAGGCCTATAATGAAGCTAGAGATACATTTTTTGTTTCTTTGCTGTGGTTTAGCTGTAAGAGATCTGTATTTCCGGACTTATAGGAAACAGATGTTATTAAAATAAAGTCAATTACTATTGGTAAAGTTATCCAACTGTTTAGCGCATACAGTAAAACTAATATTAATAAAATTTAATGTATTTTAGAGTCAGAACACAAAATTCAAAGGTTTAAGGAAATTAAGATTGAAAATAAATAAAAAAGGTAATATGCATAAATATATATATAAAACATAAAATATAACTGTATTTCAAAAGCATTTTATAATATATACCCTTTTTCATTTTTATAGCCGAATAATTTAGTCTAAAATATTTATCTTATAATTTTGATTAATAATCAATTATACTGAGAATTCAGATGAATAGAGGTTTACTAGATGCTTTCAAGGAATATAAATTTTTAAGACGTATTCATCAAATAAATTAAAAGCTATGTCATAATATGGTCTTGTTGGAATTAAGATTTTGTGTCCTTTATTTCACTTAATATTTGTCACTAGAGACATAATTTCAAAGATGGAGTTTTTAAACTTAGGTTGCTTGTTATTTTCAGCTGGATTAAATTTGGGCTAAAGATAATAATATAAAAGATATTAAGTTATAACCTTCAACCAATGTTTTCTGAACTTGTTGGATATTAGCAATCATCCAGGATACTTGTTACACAAACAGATCATCAGTTTAACTTAGCAGGTTCGAGTCAGGCCTCAAGAATTTGCTTCTTTTTACATGGAGTCCAGGTAATTCTTATTTTTCAGCATACTTAACGACTGCATCTTTATACCATCTTAATAAACGCAAAAATTCAGAAAATATGCAGGTCATTTATCACCCTTCTTCTTACCCCTTGAAATGTCTACTTTCCTCTTCAGACCCATCTCTCACCACTAATCTGTTTGCTCTCTAATGGATAGTCATGCTGTACTGCCTAAATCTTCCCTTATTCATTTGCCCATGCTGTTTCCTGTACTTCAAATCCAAGGCCTACTAATTTGTTTCACTTGGTTGACCATATTTGCCATCAAATACTTCAATCTAGCATCATCTCTGCTGGAAATAGTTCCTTAACTTCCTGTACTTGGAATAAGTCTGCATCTATGTACCCTAAACCACCTGTGCTTATATCTCTCATGGTAATGGTACTCAGCATTCTTCATTGTTCTGTACTTTTAGACAAAAGATTCTCGTGGTAAGGAACACTACTAATTACACTTCATGGTCTCAACCTACCATAAAATATGACTTTCAATCGATGTCTGTTTACTAAAGGAATGAAGAGTATAAATTCTTGGAGCTCTATCTCAACAATTTTAAATCTCTAAATGTACAATACTTTTAGGGAATGTACCATTTTTTCTACTGAGTGTGTCCCCCATCTATATGAACAACTGTCATGGATAGTCATATTTAGCAGCCAGAGGTGATTAACACAAAAACTTTTAAATTCACTGGTTTAAGAAATTATTATCAAAATAATACACATACATGCAAATAGTGCCAGGTAATATAAACTAAAAGTTAACTCTCCTTACCATCCCAATCGATGACAGATAACCACTCTTACCAGTTTCTTGTTTGTATTTCTAGAAATGCTAAGATACATAAAGCGCATATATATATCTCTCTCTTATAAGTATTCGTATATACAAATGCATAAACAATCATTCATATATGTATGTTTTTCTGTATAAAATAATATAAAGTAAACTTTAGAAGTATACTTTAAAGTATAAGTATACAGGGAAACATACATATATGAATAGTTGTTTGGGTATAAGTATGCTTTATACCAGTAAAGACAAATTTATGACTAGAAAAATAAAGTCTATATCAGTCTTTGATAATTTTTAATGGAATGGATATAATGACAAAACTGGAAAACTGACATGATATAAAGCATTAGAATATGTTTTAAAGAAAAAGTGTTAAATAACAGTGTAGTATTATTAAAAGATAAAATTGGGCATGGGAACCAGGATTTCAAAAATCAACAGAGAACTAGAGATTTTTAAAAAGCATAAAAATATAAACATTGGAAGAACTTTACAGCAGAGAAAAACAGATATAAAAGTATCTAAGATAGCAACAGACCCAGAACCAGCGTGTTACTTTAAAGTATACTTTTATTTTATTTTAATTTTTTTTTGAGATGGAGTCTCTCTGTTGCCCAGGCTGGAGTGCAGTGGCGAGATCTCAACCTCTGCCTCACTGCAACCTCTGCCTCCAGGGTTCAAGCAATTCTCCTGCTATAGGTGTGTGCCACCACATCCGGCAAATTTTTGTATTTTTAGTAAAGACGGGGTCTCACCATGTTGGCCAGGCCAGTCTTCACCTCCTGACCTCAAGTGATCTGCCTTCCCTGGCCTCTCAAAGTGCTGAGATTATAAGTGTGAGCCACCGTGCCCAGCCTAAAATATATTTTAAAGTATACTTATACTTTATACTCTTATACTTAAAGATATTTTTGGCCAGACGCAGTGGCTCATGCCTGTAATCCCAGCACTCTGGGAGGCCGAGGTGGGCGGATCACCTGAGGTCAGGTGTTCGAGACCGTCCTGGCCAACATGGTGAAACCCCGTCTCTACTAAAAATACAAAAATTAGCCAGCCATGTTGGCAGATGCCTGTAATCCCAGCTACTGGGGAGGCTGAAGCTGGAGAATCACTGGAACCCAGGAGGTGGAGGTTGCAGTGAGCCAAGATCATGCCACTGCACTCCAGCGTGGGCTACAGAGCGAGACTCTGTCTCAACAAAATAAAGAAAGAAAATAAAAATAAAAATATATTTTTATATCTGCTTATATAAATCCACCTAATTCTTTTTTATTGGCTATGTATTATTCCATGTGTATCATGATATAGTTAACCGATCTTCTCTGATTGGATAGATTGTTTTCATTTTTTTCTCATTAAAAGCAATGTTGCAATGAGTATTCTTGCACATAAATCTTTGTGCAGTGATGAATTTTGTATATGTTTAAAGTAACATGGATTTTGGGTAGGAGATATTCCTGAATTAACCTCAAGAAAGTCTGCCACAATTTATACTTCCAGAAGAAGAGGATGCCTGTCTGTCCACACCCTGATTTTGTATTGTCCAGTTTATATTTGGGCAATCTCATATGCCGCTTTGATTAGCATTCATTTACATGTGAGTGAGCATGGCATCTTTTTATGTGTATTAAAGATTTATATTTCTGAAACACATGGCTTCTGTGTCTGCTGCTATCTTAGATACTTTTATATCTGTTTTTCTCTGTTTTAAAGCTCTTCCAAAGTTTATATTTTTATGCTTTTTAAAAATCTCTAGTTCTCTGTTCATTTCTGAAATCCTTGTTTCCATGCCTAATTTTATCTTTTAATAATACTACGCTGTTATTTAACACTGTCTCTTTGAAAAATATTCTAATGTTTTATATCATGTCAGTTTTCCAGTCTTACTATTATGTCCAATCCATTACAAACTCTCTAAGGCTGATACAGACTTTATTTTTCTAATCATATATTTGTCTATACTGGTATAATGTGTGTGTGTGTGTGTGTGTGTGTGTGTGTGTGTGCACGTGCTTCAGCAGTTAACTTGTTTTACAGCTATCTAATTTTTTTACCTGCTTTGGGACTGCATTTGATAAAGAGTGCCAAAAAAATTTACTTTGTAAGTTTTGTGTAAGCTCTAAGTCTTCAGAAAATTTCATCTATCTTTATCCAATCCTGAAAATAAACTAGAGATAACCTTTAATTATTCTAGCAGTTTAATAATTTTTAAACATGCACTTTTAGATCATTTGTCATTAGATAGCTCTATTTTAAAATTTAGTATCTTGTTTATACAACCCTGTTTTTAAAAATTCCTTTTAAAGTTTTGCATCTTAAATCATGGATGCTTATATATTAGCTTCCTTTAAATGGTAGTTGAAATAAATATATATTTATTTGCTTGTTACATTTTACACGTGTCTATCTCTTTCTTTCTTTCTTTCTTTCTCTCTGTCTCTTCCCTTACAGAAGGCGGGACCACAAGGCAAGAGGAGAAAGGTAATTGACCTCTTGGCCAAGTTGTTCTGTTTGGGGAGGTTGTACCACATTGCCCTTGTGAGGTTTACAGTAAAAGCCAAGCAGAGGTCTGGAGTAGAGGGACTAACAGTGTTAGGATCAAAGGCCTAATTGTCTGCTTTCTTGAAGTTAGGGTTATTGGCAGCTGCCATTGTACCATCCATGCTGCTGTCACCCAGCACAGCCAACCAGCATGCACTAATTGCAGTGGCCTTTTCATCAAGTAAGATCATCCCACTAAACACAAAGAGCTGTCTTTCCATTAGCACAGACAGTAGCCAGCTAGATCAGCTGGGCTCCTTGAGTATGATTGGACTGTCATATTGTTATGATTTGTTCAAGTTTAGAGCATTTAGCAGATACCCTTTGCACCTCTCTTTGTACCTGAATACTATAACCTGACTGCCCCTATCATTTAAGAGGGTACTATAGCTTTTCAAAGTTCAGCAGCGCACAATTGCAGGCAGGCAACTGGTTTCTGACAAGAGATCAATACTGTCCTTCCAAACGCTGGAGTCAAGCTGCTGGGTCTGTCAGAGGGATGTGTGCTGTAATTGGATCATGGATGCTGCAAGTCATCTGAGTTTCCCTTCAGCACTGTCACAGCTGTCAGATGTCATCCCTTTGTACAGCTGTCACTGCGGGAGGGTTGGGGCTCTTTTTCCGTTCTAACCCAATGCAAATGTCCACTTAGCAGATGAATATTGAAGATATTAGACACTTCTTTATGCCTTTATGCAAAATAAAGATCTGTGTCATCTGTGAATTTCATGGAAATAAGTTGCAATTTATTCACTGTGAGAAAAGTGAAGTGAAGCCTGTAAAAATGAGAAATTATTTGGTTCAGGCTATTAAAAAAAAGGAATATTTCACAGAATAAACAACAATATGCAGATTTTTTTTCTTGAGATACGAAAACTAATACTGTGCAGTATTTAGAATAGTAACCTTATATATGGGTAATATATATTTAAAACTATATATCTATCTTTTCCTTCACCCATATCCTTAGAAAAGGGACAAATCTTGATAGATTTAAGTCCCTATAAGACATTAAAAATTATTGAAAAATATAAAGCTAATATCTGTTTTAAAGTGGCAATACTATGAGATTTAAAAAGCACTGCTTTAGTTAGAATCAGATCAAGCACTATCAAGAAAGTTTTCAAGACAGGTAGAACAGCCTCAATGAAAATGGGCATAATGTTTTGGTCACAAAATCTTTTTTTTTCTAAATTATTACAAATGAAAAAGAAAGACATGATTATAATTAGCATAATGATTACATAACCAATGAGTGGCTTTGGTTAATTTCAATCAGTTTGCTTTTCTCTAAGTTAAAAATTATATTCAAACAGAAATACATTTTTGTATTGTTTTTAAGCTTATGAAACTTATAACTCCTATGCAACACTATATTTTGCACTTATGGTTTAAACTATATTTTAAAAAATGAATTGTACAGAATTGCACAGTTCGAGTCATGCATACTTGCAACATATGGTAAGAATAGAGATGTCACCAATGTGACTTTGGCAATTGTATTCTTAATAAAAGGACTTTCATAATATTGAGATAGATCCATGAATTTCTCTTGACTATCCCAGAATAAAGTACAATTTTAATTGGTGTTTGATACCATTTTATTTCTGTCTCCCTAAGCTGATGTCAGAATCGCTTTTGGATGGCCGACAGGATAATTTTTGATCTGGGTGGCTGCCTTCCTTTTTCTTGAGATCCAGACCATACACGGCCTTCTCTGTCAAACAGGCAGCTTGCACAGGCCCTACTGACAGAGTAACATGAACCTTATTTTCCAATATCTGACCTTAGCGTCCTGCCATCCACTGTGGGACTCACTGGGTCAGGCCCTCAAATATCCAAACTTTTTGCCTCCTTCTGGCATTATGAGGTGACCTCACCTCATTTGTGGTGGCTCAAGGTTTTCGGAGCCTAAAATTAGTGACTGTCAAAATCAAAACATAGACACTTGGCTTGTATTGTGGGGCTAGGCTAGTGGGGAGGGAGGGAGGAACAAACAGCAGCACACACGCTCAGTGGCTTCATTGCAAAGATGACGTGTTTGAAATCATTATGATATATGATAATCAGGGTGAGAAACACTGTGTTTCCCCTTGCCTCATTTGGCATTTTTCTGTCAATGTGATTTTAGTTCTACAAGAAGTAGGATAAAAATCCTGGAAAAGTTAAAATGCTTTACTCCAATAAAACTAGTTATTTGGAAGTCATATCCTAGTTAACTATCACTGGTGTAGTAAAATGGCCTTCAATAGTTACTTGGGAAGAAAATGTAGGAATGAATGAAGTAAAAATTTTAAACTTAGTTTCTTAAGGTTATTCTTCTGTGATGATAACTGTGAACTTTATATGCAACTCCAGTGACTCAAGTATGCACATTTTTTTAAGGTAGTTTATGGCTAATTACATCAGAGATCCAAAACAGTCTTTTTTACATTTGCATTAATAAGGGTGTCACATGACCATGTTGAAGTAGAAGTATACATCAAAGATAGATTAAAGGTTGGTTAAGCTTCAAACCATCTTCTATATGTAAATTTATAGCAATGATGTGCTGTAGAAAGATAGCTTACCCTCTATTTCTCTGCTACTAAATAAAATTAAAAATTCACAACTCTGGTTTATGGGATTTTAAATGAATTTGATCTCTCTTTTGGGCAGGGCAAATAAGTGTTTTGTGATGTATTATTTTATATAAAAAAAAGACCATCGTTCTGGCTCATTTAATTTTGCGAGTGAATGATCTAAGATTAACTACAGACTAGTCAGTGCAGTTGAAAAGCTGAAAGCAATTTTCAGCCATAGATGGTAATGCCACATTCAGTCCACAACCGAATGACTCTAAATGACTAAGCTGCGAGGTCTTTGTATATGACCACAGGGCCTGATAAAGCCATAGGAACACAGTAAAAGCACAAAAATAGTTCCAATTTATTTGGTGCTATCACCTTAATGAGATTAATACAGACGTGTTCATGTGCCTAATTGGTGATTTTGTTTTAACTGGTAATGAAGGAGTAAAACTTCAGGCAACAGGCTGCTTGCTGGAAAGGGAATTTGAGGGGAAAAAGTTTTTAATTATAAAAGGAACCAGTGAAATACACCACTGCAAAGTTAATAATGATTCTTTTTAAAAAAAAAAAAAAAGTGAACTGATTAAAATGTGTACCCTGAATTATTCTTGCCATTTTGTGAGTATGAGTGATTTTATGAGCAGTACCACATATTGCTTTTATTTACCAGTGCACCCTTTGGCATAGGAAAACACACAGAATAGTACTTCTAGTGAAAAAGAGTTGAAACTGAAAAGCATTGGCCCTCAGGCTACTGTGGAATTTAGAGTATGTAGTATTTTATTTTAATTTTTCAAGTTATTATAACTGGATGGCCTGTGGGTAGCTGTCCCACTAAATCCCAGAAGCATCCCAGTAAACCAGGCTATCTTTCCAAGAACTTCACTGACCACTTGCAATGGGTCTACCCCTCAAAGTCGAGTTGTAACCATTTAAATGCTAACACTATTAAGCATGCTGCCAAAACACAAACACTCAGCCTAAGTCATTAAAATTTAATTATAAGGGGGCAGCTGAGCCCCGTTTGAGTTTTGAATCTGAAAAATCTTGTTTTAAAAAATGAATAAAAACAAAACCATCCAACCAAACCTATCAGCATCTGTTTCTACAGCTTTGGTGAACTATTTGTAAATAAAATTGCACATTTTATCAGAGTTCAACATGTTCACAGTCCTCACACGACAACATATTTTGATTATTACTCAGCTATCATCACCATAAAATGGGCTATTTTAACTCATCATTATTGGTAGTTAGTTGTATAACCCATGCCTCCTATATGTGTGCCGGCATGTTAATTTTGTCTTACAAGACAAACAGGTAAAATAAAGAAACTATATCTTTACACCACCAACTGAATAAGGCATTATTATCTATGATACTATTTTCCCCCAGAAGCTTTGCCCAACGCCAAGATATCTTTTTGATTAGGCAGAAAACCCTGAAATGCAAAAATTTCGTCTTTGATGTTCTATTACAAACCACTTTAAAAGGATTCTGGGTAGTGATACTGTGCAGGATGAGATGCTACCTTCCCAGAGAATGAAGACAGAAATATATTTTACATTTCTTGTCAGATTGAACTTTAAGACATCCTGACTGCTTTCTCTATAATTTAAACATCACAGCCAAAATGGCAACATGCTTTGTTCAGTTCCAGTTGTGTGGAGTTTTAGTGCTTCATTGATTCAGAGGAAGGCTGAGGCTGGCACGGGAGCAGGGCGACGGAATCACACTCTCACTGCAGCATGTCAAGCCATTATATCTGGGACCAGAATGTCACCGTGGTCTCAATGGTTCGTCAGCTGAAGGATATGGTTAACAAATGTAAAACCAAACTTCAGAGGAGCTGGTTTTCTGTGCTAAGTGATCTGTATTCCCTCTGAATTTACTTTCCCCTAACCCCGTGAAATTAACAGTACTTTCTGACATTCGACCCCCTGACCTCACACATAATAAGAATTTAAAAAGCACCATGCATGAGTGTGTCTCCGTAATGCAAAACTGGAAAAAATGACCATGTCACAGTTTTATTATACAAAACCTTCTCAATCTCCATTGCATGCTTCATATATGAGCGCTCAGTTTAAAGTTATTATAAAGAAAAACACAATTTTGAGAGTAATAATTCACTGTTCGTGACTTTTATAGACAATAAATTGTAGCAAATACATATTGCTACCAAAAAGCTTTGTACTCCATTAATGCAGATATTTACCAAGATAAGTGTTAAAAATAGTCCGTTAGAAGACTCTGATGGTTCAAAAGAAGGGGCTTCCTGGGAGCCGGTTGCCAAGGGTGCAAGTGCATGCACAATGTGTAGGTCTCAAGGTTTAAGAGGCAGAAGCAGGAAAGTGTTACGTGGAAATGATTTTGTGTTATCAGGCTCAGGGGATGACAGCATACAAGAGTAAGAACAAGGTGCTATGTGGCTTTTTCTTCACTGTGAAGTAAAGATTGGCAGCTGGAAGTAAGGCTTACAGACAGACCTGCACACAGGACCTCTTCACCTAGGACTCATAATCACTACTCAAAGGAAAACGCATTTACCAGGGAAAAGAGGCTGTAGCCATCAGAAGTGTGCTTAAAACACCACTTAAATATCACTTTATACGCTATTACTTGCAAACTGTGGCTTCGTATTAAATTATACTTGCACAGGCTTTTGCTTAGGTGCTGATAATGCTTTTGAGGTTGCATTGGTGAAGAAGAATTTAGGCTGCTTTGCAAGAGACGTGACCAGAATATTCCATGCAGCTGACAGTGACAGGGTGAAAAATTGCAGAACTGTACTTTCTTTCCCCATATAGATTGTAATTTTAATTGTCATTGTGGCCCTTCTGTTTTAATTATGGGACTTCTTTGATATATACCAGGACATCGTATTGAATGAAAATATGGTGCTATAATAGTCTCTTTATAATTAATGACCACATGTAGATCTTGGTGCATAAAAGGGAAGGAATAAATGAACAATTTATTTAACTAGGTTTTGGATTTCTTTCTGTCTTCCAGTGAATATAAAATGATCCCAGGGCTTTTGAGAATGTTTGATGTAAGAACTGCACAGAATATCTAACAAAATTACTTTAGTGTCGATTACAAAACATATTATATTTTAAAGTGTTCTACCCACAACTAAAATGTATCTATTTACCATATTATTCTTTTAACATTTTATCTTAAAGAAATAATCTTTCAAATTTATTTGCAAGTATACTTTAAATGTATACTCTTACACAGATTTTCCTTTTGATATACCTAATTTTACAGGTACAATGAGGGTTCAGGAAAGAGACTTTTGATGTTTGATTTATCTACTCATATCAAACTACAAAAAAAATTCTATCTGAACTTTTGCTTTCAACATACAATAGATCTGTGCTGCATTTTTTTCCTGAAGAAAAAATGCATTTTTTCCTCAGTTACTGCTACTAAACAGAAGCTGTTTTTCTACAAACCGAAAATAAGTAGTCTATTCATATGTAATTTAAAGCCCCTGAAAACTGTGAAGAGGAAATGGAAAATACAGCGCAAAGGCTTCACATTGTTCTCAAACTATCATGTAACAGGCTTACCATATAGAACAGTGACATAAACATGCTGGGCTCATATACATTTCAAGAGAGCCAGACCTCTATGGATTTCTGGAAAGCAGACCTATTTGTCCAGGGTCTGTCACTGTAAAACAGAAAAATGCCCCCTGACAAGCTTCTGCTAATTTTATTGTGGCACGGAGTCCTGTGCATACATCCTCTACAGTATGACTGCAGTTCAATTGCAGAGCACGATGAAATTGGATCGGCAGAGACAGGGACTACCCTGGGGTCAGCTGTGACCATGCCACTTCCATGTGATGTCTAGTTGGGGTGATGGTGTGTAAATAAACGTAGAGAATTGCAAATCTTGTCATGGCCACGCAGAACAGCTCAAGCATTTAAAGATGGTTGCCCGCAAACCTAACTGGAAGGTGGTTGCTGTGTGTGGTGGCTGAGGAAATACTCAATTCCTTGCCGGAGTCTTCTCGTTCTTGACATATCTGAAAGCACTGACCCAGCACTATGTTGCTAAAGGGATTAATCACTAAATTGTTTTTCACTGTGGTGGAAACTAAGGAAACACACTAATCATATTTGAATATTGTGCTTTAAAGCTATTGTGCTGATACCAAAGACACTTTTTATTTATATTATCCTTTTTTGATTTATTTGTTTTTTTAAATGAGGTGAAACATCTTAATGTCCTACTGTTTTCTGAATTTAACACATTAAAGTTCTATGAGTTCTTGTCATTGTTATGAACTTTCCTAATGTTATAAAATAAAATATTATAGAATTCACATTTTCTGTGTATGAATCTAATTTTATTTAAATACTACTTACAGTACTCATTAAAATATACTTAGGTTTTCCTACCTACAACCAATAAGATGTATTTTTTCTTTACCAGTTTTACATTTACACTTGTCTGTTTTCCTGTTACTTTTCCCACATGACAATTACCTTTCATTACAAATTTATAAAATCATTTACATTTTAGCAGTTTAAATGTTTCTGCTGACATTTTGTAACTATTACCCTCTTCTAGAATGGCATATGTTCAGGCAGTTAATAAAAAATTAAATGGAATAGCACTAGACAAGGTGAAGCTTTGTATCAGAGTGTTCTCCACATTTCTGAAAATACCATCTTTGTGTTGCAAACTGTGAAGTGAGGTTAGGGCTGTGCCAATATGTGTATTTGTCACAACTGTCACAGAGACCGCGAACTAGCCAATCATACAGCCCTTAATTAGACAGTTGTATTTTGCTTTTTAGAAATTGTCCTCATGTAAAATGGCGTCTAAGATTCAAGAAAGGTGCTGAGAGCTTAGAGGGCAAAGAATGCCAGCAGAAAAAAACACTTTAATTCTTCTGAAGAAGATTTATTAACTGCTGCATGATTTCTTAAGTATAGAAATAAAATACGCAATATAAAGCAAATCTTATAAATTTGGCAGGAAAGAAAGGTATTTTAAGGATTATTGATGTAGCCATAGACTGAACTAAACATTTACATGGTGTAGTATATTTTCATATGGATTTTAAAATTATAAATATAAAAAAATTGACAAATTGAGCATTCAGATAGTAAAGATATCATGGATTCTTTAAAAGCCTTCATATATATGTTTATTATCGTGACATTTGCTTCGTTTGGAAATACCACTTAAATTACTTATTACTGAGGGTAAATTATATATATTTTTGTCAAAGGTCATTTCTGCATTTACATTTTTTAAAACTATAGAAACAAATCTATATAGCATAATTCATTTTTTTAAAGAAAATGAATTTAGAATTCTTCATCCTCCAAGTAAAACATGTTGGAATACCTTGCCATATTTGAAAACATAATTTTAACTCTTGCAATATATTTATACACAATTATAAAGTTTCATGGAGCATGAAGCAGGCAAAAATAAATCAGCAAAATCTTATCTATACAGTGCATTTTTCTTATTTATGAAAATGCACACGAATATACCTCTTTGCTGATGTTGTGTTCATCTATTTTTTCTCTTGAAAAACATAAATGAAAATTTACCTTTTAAGTAATAAATCATCAAATGTATGTACGTGATAACATTTGCCAGCAATATTACCTTCGGAAAACAATACAATTCATTTTATAATCTTCATATAAGTAAAAGTAAATCAGCATGACTTTAAAAAATATTTTAACACTTATTGTAACCTTCTCTTTTTTGATTTTTGACATGTTAAAGTTTTTAAGCTGATTCCAGACAGGATAAGTGTATTTAGGATTCCTGGAACCTGAGGCCAGCTACTCCTAAAAATCATGATAAATGAAAACTACACATCATCAAGATCCCTTTTTAAGAAATCGTAATAAACTCTAACTTAGATGAAAAGAATTTGGCTTATTTGTTCGTTTGTTTGTTTTTAACAGTGGATATATCATGTATTTTATGAGCAAAAAAAAATCTGATTTGGGGTAACTTGCATGGCTCATCCCATTTTAAATCTTTATTCAATAGGCATATCATAGAAGTTTTAACAGTCATAGCAGATTAACCTTGCCTGTGCTTTTGGAGGCTAGTCATCTGATGAATTTACATGCAGCTGGATGAAAATGCTATTTGGAGAGAGATTGAGAGTTTATTTGATTAAATCCCTTTCTCCACTACCTTGACCTCTTTCTTGTGAAATAATCAGAACTGTTTAGCAAGAATATTCAGGCATTAATAATAAATTGCTTTTGAGCTGGTTTCTTCTGCACTGCAACAAACCCATTTGGTGTCTCTGCTCTTTTCTTTTTCTTTTTTTTTTTTTAAATATTATTATGCTTTATTTAATGAACACTATGATTAGAAAGAGTAAGAAACATATCTTTGAGAAGTTTTGTTTTATAATTTGTAGGCCATTTTGATATTTGTAGTACTAATTGCTGTGGTTTCACCTTCCTCTTCTCTCAAAAATGCTTTCCTCACAAATGTACAAAGATGGGATGTCTTAGGCAGAACCAAATGCTACAATGTGATTGGATGACAATTACATGATTATCCTCAACAACTTCAAGGATGGTTTTGAGAGTTCCCAGAATATTATAATTTAAATAATGCCATTGTTTTTGATTTTATTATTTGTGTATTTATACACGTTTCCCCCATAGCACCTTGGTTTCTAAAAATATTTTTTTTACTGTATTTAAGCAGTTCACAGTTATTTTTCTGAACACTTTTGAGATCATACGTCACAGAATATTTGATTTTTAAGAGACTTTAGAGGTCATCTGGAGCAACCTATTTTTTAGAGAAAAAATTATCTGCAAGGAGATTAAATTAATTCCCCATCTTGTATAGCTAGTTACAGACAGATTTGGTGGGCTGATTCCAAATCAACTTTCCTGTATAACTGAGGGTGACGAAGAAAGAGTGTAAGGTATAGCGCTTGTCTTCATGAACTTAGAACACAGTTGAAAAGAAAAGATATTCACATGTGAAAAAGTAATTAGCAATTAATACTAGTTACAGATGAAAGAAATAAAGACTTTATCCTGAAAGTTGCCAGACAGAATTTACTTCCTTCACATCTCCCTGGGGTATGATGAGTCCCAGGCTTTATTAGGCACAGAACATTGGTCAGTGTTTGGAAGCTAAAATAACTCTCATGGGTAACTCCAACATCCAGTAATGGGAACAAGTGAAAATCTTTAAGTACAGTGCTATCACTCCTGCCATAATTAATGTTCTTGATAAATGAATTTTTCACTGGGTAGTTGACTTGATATATATATATATATATATATATATATATATATATATATATATATATATATATATACACACACATACCCTACTATACTGTTACCCATTATAAAGCTACAGTATCTGGTCTTCATACTAAGTTAAGCTTCATTATAATTTGTTTCTTAATAACATGCTCTTCACTGTAATATGTAAAATGCTTGGCTTTCATGAACAACTCTATGGGAAAGCTGTACAGTATCTCATTTGCATTTAGCAATTATATTACATTACAATACAGTAAGCTGCAGAAAATCTAATCTAACATCGTAATTTAAAATAATAATTTCCAGTACTTTACAAGTAAGATACAAGTCAGGTTACAATAACACATTGCACTATTTCTCTGTTGAATAAAACAGAATTGTTGCTTTATTTTTTTACTTCAAAAGTATTCAAGAACAATTTAATTTTGTAATAATGACAATAGTATTATATTGAGAGGGAAAGATCATTTAGATTGTTCATAGGTAGCTAAAATTTGCCTTTCTTGGTCATAAGTTAGCCATGTGTTTTTGGATCTAATCATATTATTAATATGCTAAGTTTCAGAGCAGAGGTTTTATGAGACTCAAATGAATTTATAGCAATCATGTTGTAAATACTGTATATCCTATTTTCAAAATGTTTGTTTTTGAATTATGAGAAATGTGTAACTCAAAAATTCACATTTAAAAATAAAACTAAAATGATTTTATAGTGACATCTAAATATAACCACTCTCAAGTTTTGTTATAGTTTTGAAGCTTAGGATCCTATAGAGAAATCACACAGTGTTGTAAATTTGGTACCAAATTTGACAATGTAAGTTTGAGTGTAGGAATTTAAAATATTAATATGTATATATTTAAAGATTGCTGAAAAATATAAAATCTATTTAATATTTGAGTTCATGTGATATGCAACTGACTCTAGAGAATATGCCAGAAACCACAATCTTCTTGCCATCAAGTATTATGCAATGTGTATTGAGAGTGATGTTTTTGTATATGAATTATAATATAAAAATAAAATCAGAAGCATAAAAGAATTAGAATCACAGCACTTAAGAGAAGAAAGAGACATATTTAACAGAAGATCAGAAAATGCTTCAATGGAGAAAGTTTTATTTGAGATGAGGCTGAAGTTCAATTCAATTAAATCCAGGAAGCATTTATTATCATCAACCATGATATGATCTCTGCTCTGAAGGAGCTTATAATCTAGTTGCAATAAGAGCACATCAGAAGGGACAACAAATTATACCTGAAATATTAGGAAAAGCTTCATGAAAGAAGTCACGTTTTACCAAGTTCTTAATTAAGTAAGAGATAAGAAAAATAGATGGGGGAGGCATTCAGGGATGAATGAAAAGCATAAGAAGAAAGGAGTATTAGGGTGTGAAAGGGTGTGCATCTATCATCTTGAAAGATAGATGTGCCACTGTTGCTGAATCATGGGAAGGTGGAGCACTACCATAATCGATGAGTCAAGAATGGAACAGAGTGAGAAGCACCTTGCAGGTCTCTGCAGCTGGATGACATCGTCTGTCCTACTTTCCCTTTTATCTACCATTTTTTTCCTCTTCTCTTTCTTTTCTTCTTCATTTGTTATTATTGTTGTTTAGGAAGACAACCCCAGCAGTTTCATGGAGAATCAATTAGAGTGGAAAGTGGGAGAGAAGTTGGGAAAATTTACTTTAGATTTACTGCGAAGTCAATTTGTGCAGAAAAGCTGAGGGCAACCTTAACTTCTGAAAGAATATTATGTCCTTGACAATGTTTGTGTTTAAGAATTTTTAGTGTATTCCTTACTAGGTTTCCATTTTATAAGACTAGAGTATGAAGCAGAGATTGCATGTGAGAAATTTTAGATAGCAATCTTTGTAGCTAGGAAAATCAATAACTTACCATTTCACAAATTATGTAAATTAATTGTAGGGCAAATTAAAATTTCAGATTATAGCTCATTCGCCTCTGTTTTATTCTATAAACAAGCTTTTACTAAGTAGGAAGCAAACAGATTCCTTTTCTTAGGAGCTGTCTTGACTCTTTGGCTGTGTCTGTGTAATGCTGAAGAATCCAGAAGATGGGTATCAAATACTATCAATTTTCTGTATGGCAATAAACAGAAACCATAGCGGATAAAAGTAATTTTATCCAAGTTTATGTTCTTAAAGAAAAACTATGTCTTTTTTTTTTTTTTTTTTTTTTTTTTGTCAGGGCCTTGCTCTGTCACCTAGGCTGGAGTGCAGTGGCATGAAAATGGTTAACTGCAGCCTTGACCTCCTAGGCTACAATGATCCTCCCTTCAGCCTCCTGAGTAGCTGGGTCTACAGGCACGCAACACCACACTCACCTGATTTTCATATTTTTTTTTTAGAGATGGGGGTCTCACTGTGTGGTCCAGGCTGGTCTCGAACTCCTGAGCTCAAGTGATCCTCCTGTTTTGGCCACCCAAAATGCTAGGATTACAGGTGTGAGCCACCATGCCTGGCTGTCTAGTCTTTTGTTTTGATTTTTTGTTTGTTTGATCCTTTTGCAAATTAGCTTTTCTATGTTTAGATTCTAAAATCAATAAAGATTTGCCAACATTTTAAAACATATTTTAAAGAATGACATCTACTCTGAATATACTTTATGCTCATACCAGAGGCAAATATTTTTAATTTAAAGTAATGCCTTTTTATTACTTAAAAAATGTATGAGGCATAACTTGATCAGAAAATTAGATTAAGCATTGACTCTAGAACAATCACAGTGGAAGATACTATGTTTTAGCTACTTATTATTTTGCATTTCTCAATTTTGTGTAAGAAAAGGTTTATATCCATCCTTTGAATCATCTGCAAGAGTACATTACTAGGAGGTTATATCTCCAGGAATCAACATTTAAAAACTGAGGAATAAAACAAAACATATACATTATTAAAAATGTAAACTTATTTCTAAGTACTAAATACTGAGTCAACCTTGAATCTAAGGCTAAATTCTAATGAAGGCTAAAATTGTAGAAATACCTATATCAGCAATAACATAAAGGAGGTGTTCTGCCTAATGATGCGATAAACCATGCTCAAACTATTTAGATGTTTAGAAGGATGTTTTATTTATATTATTAATTTATATTATATATAACTAATGTGAAGTTGACATGAGTTTAATGAACTGTTTTCTAAAAATAAAAACTGGACAAAAAAAAAAAAAAAGCCGGGCACGGTGGCTCATGTCTGTAATCCCAGCACTTTGGAAGGCTGAGGTGGGCGGATCACCTGGGTCAGGAGTTCAAGACCAGCCTGACCAACATGTGGAAACTCTGTCTCTACCAAAAATATAAAAATTAGCTGGGTGTGGTGATGGGCACCTGTAATCCTGGCTACTCTGAAGGCTGAGGCAGGAGAATTGCTTGAACCCAGGAGGTGGAGGTTTCAGTGAGCCGAGATTGCTCCATTGCACTCCAGCCTGGGCAGCAGAGCAAGACTCTGTTCCATAAAAAAAACCTCCAATGCCTTCACCAATCAGCTTTTCTAATACTTCAAAATATGTGAACTGTTAGAGTGGAGTTACAATTTCTTATTGGTTCCTCCATTTCTGGTTGTTCATAGAAGATATCCAGAGAACAGTAAATTTTACAAAATAATTTACACAGTGTCTAGATTAATGTTTCTGAAGCCAACCTGTGCCATCTTTCTAAAAATTTTCCTTGTGATAAACTGAAACTTTTCTCTCTGTAGCTCTGGTGCAATCTATCAGAATAAATGTAATCCCTCTTTATGAGTCAAAGCTATCACATCTTTTGGTGCTTTCTGGATGCTAGACTAACCACCTTCTTTAGCTGAATAATTTCTAGAATCATTGAATTTCTTTCATTATCAATGAGAGGAAAAAAACATATTATTTTAGCTCAGAGAACTACGTATACATATATTTAGAAATGATGCTTAGCTCAAATAATAATATAATTTTTTATGAATAAAGACCTATTGATTGACTTTTCCTCTTTATATTTAAACAAAAATTATTTTGTTTCGATGGAACTCTTATTCAATCAATTTAAATGAATCCATACTGCTATTTCTTCAGATAGAATGTCATAAGGATAACCCAGACAAGAAAATAGGAACAAGATTTCTAAAAGATCTTAAGGAAAATATTCAAATATTTTTATTTTTTGAAATTTTATTCTTGATACTATGCAATTGATTACATATTAAGATCCTATTGCTAACTTTTCCCCTGGAATGGGGCTGGAATGCTTTGGAATACAATTGGGCATTCTTGTCCTCATTGCATTTTTCCAGGAAACAAGAAAGAGATTAGAAAAGTACTTTTTGTGGTTGATAATCTGACTTTATTTGCATTTTCTCAATGTTGCAGAGTAAATCCACATTATTTGTGATCATTTCCCCTATGATGAGTGCCTATATTGATTGAAAATAGTCTTTATCAAATCATACTGCTTATACTATGCCTAAAATAGGTTAATTTACTTAAACATTATGATAATGTTATTTTTTATATATTGCTTTCTCTGTTAGTCACCAGTTAGAACCATTTGTTACTGATATACTTGATAAAATGTGGGAACATTCTGATATATTATAGAATTACTTTTCTTTGAGATATGATATAACTCCGAAAATAGCCCACAGATAATGTAAGTAAGGGTATGTGTATAAAAATCCTTTGTATGATGTTAATGATCAAATCATTGCAACCGAATTAGAAACATTGGTAAAACTACAAGGCTGTCTACTGGTTGAGTCAATAAAACAGTTTGTACTCAGTATTCAGTCCATTTTCCACATTAAAGTTAGTCTAAATATTAATGAAAATTGCAACAGAGAGGATTGCATTACTTTCTGACAAGATTATAGACTGCAAAAGGAAATTTACAATCACTTGTCATATCCTAGGCCAATGCAGAATCCAGACACCCTCTGTCTTGTCAAGAGTTTTACCTTAGGCCATATATACCCTTCCTACATGCCACATCTGCAGTAGGAATCTTCAGAACAGATTTATTAATCCTTCAAAAGCTTCCATGCTAGTATAGTCTATACTGATTTTCTGAAGTGTTCCAAATACTTTGTAAAAATTAACCATTGCTAGAGTGAGTGTCCCTTCTTTCTTTTCCTCTTCACCTGCAGGATATGGGGCGAAAAGAGAATCCAGTCCTTTACCATCCACCCTTCAAAATAAAATCAAATTAGTATCCCCAGAAACTTTAAGCTGGTTTTGAAAAATTATATTAGGAATGTGATTTACTTAAGTTTCAGGAACAGAAACCTAATCTTATTTTTTTCTTCTTAATAGAACTAGGAATTTAATGCATATTTAAGTGTCTATGATTAATTCTAAATAACCTGTTGCAGTTATTTCAATCATTTACTTCATTTACATTCTCTCACATTTTCATCTTTTTCTCTGTATTTCTTCATCATTTTTCTTATCAATGATTTTTTTCTGGATATATCCCACCCCAAATTCCACACAACAGTTATAAGTTTAGTTTGCAAATTTCTTATATTTCTGAGATGTGTTAATAAAAATGTTATCAATTTTTTAAATTGTGGATTGACATTGCTTGCATTGAATTAATATAGCACACCTGTGCTAAGTATTGCTCCAAGTTCATTGTATATATAACTACTTTAATTCTCAGAACAACCCTATGCAGTATTGTTATTATCTTTATTCCATTTTTACAGATGGGAAATTATGGCACAGAGAGGCTAAGTGACTTGCTCAAAATCAAACAGCTTGATGATGGGTAAAGATGCAAATTTTAATGCCTGTAATCCCAGCACTTTGGGAGGCCAAGGCGGACGGATCATGAGGTCAGGAGATCCAGACCATCTTGGCTAACGTGGTGAAATCCCGTCTCTACTAAAAAAAATACAAAAAATTAGCCGGGCATGGTGGCGGGCACCTGTAGTCCCAGCTACTCGGGAGGCTGAGGCAGGAGAATGGCGTGAACCTGGGAGGTGGAGCTTGCAGTGAGCAGAGGTCGTGGCACTGCACTCCAGCCTGGGTGACAAAGCGAGACTCCGTCTCAAAAAAAAAAACAAAAACAAAAAACATACAAATTTTAAGTCTCATATTGTCTGGTTTTCATACTATCGACACTAATTGGCTTTCTGTAAGGTAATAGTTTCTAGGGTAAAGACCAAAATTTTATTCCCAAATTAGGCCCAAATGTGTTGTTAAATATAGTGGTTACATAATGTGAGATTTTGATACGTCCATTAAAGGAAGATCATCAGCTTTGAAGTCAGACAAAATGGACTTGAATTCTTACATTTACAATTAGCTTCTGGTATGGCTGATTTCTCTGATATCATTTCTTCATTATTATGAGGAATAAAATTAATACAGTACATATATTTGTATATATTAAGTGACTAGTACAGAACTTAGTTTATAGTAGATTCCCTCCCTTTCTTCCTACAACAACAACAAATCTATTTTTTTCCATATAAGTGAAGTCTGAAGTAGTAAACAATTAATGCCCTTTTTTTTAGGCTGAAAAGAAGCAGAAATTTTATACACTGGTTTGCAATATGTAAGCATGCCATTTTTCTGTCTATGAATAAATTAGCTTGGACCGTAATAGAAGCACTCTGCCACCCCTGCGCCACATGTTTCATTCTCTCTTCTGAGGAATGAGCTCTTATAGAGTTCCCTAGGACCACAAGCCTGGGAAGGAGATGTGGTCTCCATCATTACCCAGACAAACACTGCTTCCCAAACCACATTGTCTGATAGTTTGTTCTCTTGTGGAGAATGTAATGAGCTGGAGCAAGTTCCATGTGCTTTGTGAAATGCTTTAAGACTGGGGATTATGCCTACTGATAATGCATTTTAAAAAATATTTCATTGCAACCTGGATTACATTTTTTTACCTTAACACACTGGCCTTTTCATAGACCAAAAAGAGACCTAGGGAATTTTTGAGAATAGAGAAAAGTTATATTGGGCACTTATAGTACCTTTTGAATGTTAGTCGACTTGGAGGAGTATAATGTCTATTGTTTATCTTGACTTTGCTTCTTCTGTCAATTTGAGGTACTAAGGTTATAGTACAGAATGCTAAATGCTATTAACAATAAGCGTCAATATAAGAAAGGTACTTGCTATCTAGTTAATATGACATAAGATTCAGGTAAAGCTGAACTTACTGCTAGTAAAAATAGATAAACAGAAACTAAGAGTCAGTTAAAAGGTGAATGATTTTTATATAATAGTTTCTAAGTCATTTGTCAAAAAAAAGATACATCAGGAATGAAAATGTTGCTTTGGTAAACATTTATAGACTACCCCGAAGCTATCCATGTATTTATATACATTTTGGAAGTATTTGAGCTGTGTGTTAATTCAGATTGGTTTATATGTTAATGAATGTGATTATCTTCAAGGGATATTTCTGAAACTCAGGAAAGGACAAACATTACACTTACTTTATGTAGTATTCTTGTGTTTTTCTTTTTATTACTTATGTAAGCTCCAAACAAGCTCCCAAATAATTGAGCTGATTCAAATAACATATACAATTAGCAAGAGAAAATGGAGAATGTGGAAATTGAAATAGGCCTAACCCTTCTTTCCTTTTCCGACAAACGTACATACTAATTCAATACTTAGGGCTAACCCTAGGACAGATTTTAAGAAATAAATTGCAGTTATCAGTTATTTATAATAACCATGTTTGAGTTTGCTTTATGTAAAAGAAATTCCCCAAATAATTCCTCTAAAATCTAAAGTTAACTACCATTTATATTTGAAAATGAGTTGTTTTTAGTCAGTATCCTTTCCCCCATATTTTATTTTACATTTCATTCACCCAGTTTTTCTGTCTGAGTGATGATCATCTATGTAATATATGTTAGGAATTTTCACTTGAAGGACCATGTATCTTTAAATGTCTTCTTTTTATTCATCCTAGTTCTAACACATGTAATTTCCCCTTTAATTTGACATCATTTAACGGCACATTACACGTCAATGATGTGATCTGTGAATATTTACAATGTTCATGTCATTTTTATTTTCTAATCCAATTTAAGTAGCTCTGCTTTTTATGACATCATGAATTCTTCAGTCTTTTTGGTCTTTTTGGGACTAATTATTCCATTAGTTCCTTTGAACTAGCTCTGTGTTGTCAGTCATTTCTTCTCTTTTGATCATAAGATCTTTGCTGCCCTCCTTTGCATGTACAATCAGTCTTAGGCCTATGCAACCAACCTATGAAGCAAGTACAGTCTTCATTCCCCTGCAAACTGCAATTCACAATCATTTCTGTCCTGAGGGCACTTTGCAGGTAAATCTTCTCTTAACACCATGGCTTTTAAAGTTCTTAGCTATTGAAAGTAAGTTTGGATACATTTTAACAATAGTATTTATTCTATGAGAATAAACATTTATATAAAGTACTTGTTAAGACAGAGATTTATAAAATAAAACAAGCATGAGTAAGAAAAATGGCAAGAAAAAAACAGAATAAATTTTACTTGTCTCAATGTTGTATGACACACAGTTTATGTTTGTTGTTTAATGCTGATTTTGGCATAAGTACAAAACATCAGAGACTTAACCTTTGAAAGAATCCAGTCTTTCCCAGTACTTTTCCATTTTTCTGCTAATTTATATGAAAATTTATAGATGTCATTAATTTTAAACTGCATAAAGGCAAAAGAAAATTTGGTGTGATTAAAGCATGACTTTGTCTTTAAACTTCTTGTTTACTAGAAACTTTTAATATTTCCTGTGTAAGGCTGAGCTCTGCTGTCTGTTGCTGCCCTCTGTAGTGATGAACAAGAGAGCAAAAGATCAGCTTTGTTCAACGCAATAGAACTTGACTATCAAAATTTCTTCCAGACTGACAAATGCAGACAATTTGAGATTCACATATCTGAAAACAAAAAGTCAATAGGGATATTTTTGCATTTGAAGTGTCCTTCCATAGGTAGTAATCATTGAGACCATAACCAAGCTGCATTTTAAGTATCATTAAAAAAAATTACAATATGATTGATTTATCCTGATAGAAAGTACCACTAAGAATATTTAGAAATAAACTAAAATTAAAATAACCTATTAAAAAGTAGGTTTATTATTTAAGATTTCAAATTGGATGGCAATGACTAAGAGTGCTCAGAATTTCTTTCTTTATAAGGCAGTCCTAATAAAGCATTAATTCTTTCTGAAGCAAAGTGTTCTTATCTGTTAAATGGGAATTCTCATTGTAAAGCTAAAGTCTTAAATGGAAAGCACTTTGTAAATTATAAAGTCTTATCCAATTTGCAAGTATTTTTATAACTTTATGTAGATTTAGTCTGATATAACTATGAAATAGTTAAAATCTGTTCTTTCCCATTCTTCTCCTAAACATATCTCTTACTGCCCTGGCTACTGGAAATGAAGTTAAAGAGGATTAGTCCTTGTGACCAGCAGTTCATGGACTCAGGAGGAACGTAATAGGAGCTGGGTAGAATCTAGGGAGAGAGACATCAGAAATGTGCCCTCGTGAAAAGCAGCCTGGCAGAAACTAGACATGGCTTAGGGCTCTAGCTAAGTAGGCTGAGCCTCAGGTCAAAGGAGTCTTTACAGAAAAGCTAAGACCAAAGACCTACTGCCAAAATATATCCATGTTTGTATGGTTTAGGGTCAGACAGAAGCATGGCAGCTTTTTGGAAGTACAGTTAATTTCAGACACAACATGAAATTAGTACTTTAACAAAATCTTGTTTTTATAAAGTCAGCAGATGTGAGTTTGAATACCAGCTCTGCTGTTTATGGCCTACATATGGGATTCTCAATTTCTCCGAGCCTCAGTTCCTTCATTTGTAAAATTGGGACTAATAGTGAGATAATATTTGTGAGACTCCTGACCTGTTATTAAAAATGGTAAAATAGATTGAATAAAAGTTAATTGATTCCAAATCTGGTCAGGATGAGTATAGGAATCAGACAAGTAACCCGTGGGTGATATCAACGACTTAATTTAGGAGGGACCAGAAGAGGCCATGAAACTCTTTTCCGAATTTCTAAAATTCTATGAGGTATGTTATTGCCTCTCCTACATGTTTCCATCTTAGAGAATTCTGGAACTCACTGTAGGAAGTTAACATGTGGTGAGGGACTCCTTAGCTCTTGTATCATACTTTCCGTGAGTCAGTTATGTATCATGTTCGTGCTTATATTGGTTTATACTTTGATTTTTCAGAGACACTATTTCTGAAGTATAAGTTCTGCCTAAGTCTAACTGCAGCTCCAGGATGATATGTCTCTCTATTTCTGGGTTTCTCTCTGTCTTTCTCTCTCACTCTCTTTCTCTCTAGATGGAGAGATAGTACACCTAGAGAGAGAGTGATATATATAATAAGTAATATAATAATATATTTGTATTATATATACTATGTTTATATTATATATAATAATATATTTGTATTATATATACTATGTTTATATTATATATAATAAAAATATTTGTATTTTCATATATACTGTACATAGTTTGTGGAGGGATTGCTTGCGCCTAAGCCCTCAGCAGTAAAAACCAATGTGCCTAAAAGATACGTAGTACAATTAATTTTGCCTTTTTCTATTAATAGCATTGCCCTCAAGGATTTTTGCAGAAATCACATTTAACCCTTTCAATGTGTAGTATGAAGGAAGGTTTTGTAAAAATGAAATGATTAACTGATAGATCCTTTAAGCTTAAAAAAGAAGTAGTTAATTTCATTAACTCACTTCAACATAGTCACCAGTTAAGGGGTTGTT
Source organism: Homo sapiens (assembly GCF_000001405.40). Taxonomy (NCBI): domain Eukaryota; kingdom Metazoa; phylum Chordata; class Mammalia; order Primates; family Hominidae; genus Homo; species Homo sapiens. The sequence continues at coordinate 155,713,189 of NC_000002.12, read as the reverse complement.
GGGAAAGGTTGAGGTTTTGGAGGTGTGATGTATAAAGCCATTATTCACTGCCTTCCCATGTCTCAATTTTCTTTTGAGGACAAGAGAAAACATCGAACATTAAAATACTTAAACTTTCATAAACAGAAGTAAGAAATGGTGAATTTGTCTTAACAATGTTCAGAGTAAACTTTGGAACTGATGAAAGTAAATATGTAGCGTTTAGAAGATGGGCTCTAGAGCCTTAATATCTGGGTTTGAATCTGAGATCTGTTTCTTCCAAGCTGTGTAACTTTGGGCAAATTCTTATGCCTTTTTGTGCTTTAGTTCTCTTTCCTTTAAATGAGATTAGTTACAGTACTCACAACACTTTGTTTTGAGGAGCAAATAGTTTAGTACATGTGAAGCATCTACCTGTATTTGTAAGTTTACACAAAAGCAGTATAATGTGCTGTAAACCAAGGTTTAGAGACAGTTATAGTAAAACAAAACAATGTGAATGTTTTAAAAAGAGTTGTCCAATTAGATATGTTTTTCTTAGAATATTATAATAAAAAATATTTATTATGTAAAGTAGAGTAACCTGTTAATTAGAAATTTTTGACATTTCTCAGGAAAAAATTGAGTTACAGAATATGGGCAACACTCTCCATCTCTTTCAGTTCAGGGTTGTTCCTTGGCTGTCAGTTTTTCCCCAGATAAAGCATTCAGCAGTTTGATGGGAGCACCTCAGTTTTCCAGGTGCATTTGATAAAATAGGTGTTTGAAGCCTTGTACATGCTACCTTATTGGTGACTAGATGCTTGTAAAAAGTTTAGGTGGTTGTTGGTAGTCACCCTCCTTGGTGATGTTTCCTAGCTTTTAGTGCCCTTTTTTGTAGCATCCAATTTAATCAATGTTTTAACTGGGAGTCAAAAGTACATATTTTATGAATTCTCCTTAAAAGTTTACGATTTTTTCTTTTACTACTAATATACAAAATGACCATTTTATGTCTCTAATGATTGTGTCTCAATAGCTCAATACAATTACTAATAGAGAACTACATGGCTTGAAATGAGCTTTAATATAATTATTTCTGTCCCTGGGTTGTGGGTTATTCAATCTGCAGTGCTAATGTACTCAGTTAAACATGGTAGATTTACATACCTACAGTCATAGGTATGTATCTGAAGAGGCCAACTGATATCATGAATAATAATCATTTCATTTTGCCATTTATCTAGTGAAAATCTGGATTCTGAAAGCCTTATATGATTTTTCTCAGGTGCTCAATGTTAATGAAGAAGAAGAAATTTATATGAATTACTTAGGCTTATAGGTAATTGAAACAGAGTCTGCCAAAAGTAGAAATGGAACTCTGAAGTTTGTATTTTAAGATACATGTTTTTTTCCAAACGGGTTTGTTGAAAAAAACTATTTCTAAAAAGGTCTTAAGGCAACTAATGTTTATTCTTTACTGTACTGAAATGTGTAGGTCATTATATATCCTTAGTGTGGCAAGTATAATAACAAAAACTTTGTAAATAATGATTGGAAAAGAATAATGGTGATGTGCTTTGAGCTTGTTTAAAGAACTATTCTGTGGTTCCAGTTTAAGTAGCTTTCTATTCATGTTTATACTACTATATAATTTCAATAATATAGAATGTTAAGCTGGTTCTGCAGGTAAAGGAAAATTTTGGACTTACTGCCATGATTATACATTTGTTTCGCACCAAAGGTGCTAAACTCCAAGGGCTAAAGCAAACACAGAAAGAAACATGAAGACTATTAATTGAGCCATTGCTACCAAAAAGCATCTATTTAGTTAAAGTGTAGCCAAAGCACTTATAGATCCAACTGGCTTGGAATATTTTTTTCCACTCTGCAGTGATGGCTGAAATGTCTATAATTAGAGATATTCCTTTGGGTTCAGGTGTTATCACAATTGTTACCTGGAAGGTTAAACTGTTACTGCACATAGGCCTAGGAATACGCACAGTCTTATCAAATTATGCAGTTTAGGCAGTACTCTAGGAGAAAAACAATAGTAAATTGGAATGGGAAACCTCAGTTAATGGATTATCCTGAAAAGGATCATTTTGGGTGGGATGAAACTATGTAGGGTTTAGCTCTGATATAAAAAAGTTATTATAATTCTAATTTCCTTGCCATTGAGCCCAAGTATTCATTCTTTATGAAAAAGAAATCAATGGAGATATTCCTCAACCTAAAGTTAAAAATATAGAAGTTCTTTAGACTTGGTGAGATTTTCCCATACTTTCACTTCTTTCATGATTTCAAGCTTACTTACATATTTTTCTTGCATTACAATTTTTTTCCTACTCTTTAGCTTTTGTGGTTAGGTAAATGACTACTTTCAGGAGTTTTGAATTAATGATTTATTTGTGATCAGGAACAGAATGAACCATAAACATATTACTTGAAGTGTTTTGTTTTTCCCCAATAGACATGATTGATGGTGCTCTAGTCTGGTTTTCCTTGTGATCAACGACTTTTATTTATGAAGTGACATGACCAATGGCAATAGAGTTCATTAAGAAATTAGGCTACCAAGTTTCTTTAAATTTCAGATTTATTTTCAAAAAGGGTGCTTATATTATATACTCACTAGTAAGCTATATAATTTTGTGGCGCTTACTGTTTTAATTAAGCTATTGAACAAATTTTTGTAAATATCTTTTGGGTGCAGGCTACATATGAGCTTATTACTAGGGTTGGCATCAGGATGAGATGACCACAGAAATAAATAATATGTGCTTTTGGTCTTAAGACAGTTTCAGTTTAAAGAAAGAGGCAGATTTTTACATAAATAACACCAAAAAGTAAATTGAATAAGGAGATGGGGCTGTTAAGTAAGAAACTTAAGCCCACATTTCATATTGGAACCCTGGATCGTTAATTATAATGTGGGTTTTCCAACTGTGTTCCATAAAGTCCTACCAAGATGTAGTAGAAGGGGCCACTATATTTAAAATAAAACAAAAACAAACGTACAACATTTTTGTTTTTATTATAAAAATATACATTTAAAAAAATAAGACAAACTTATGAAAAAGAAACCATAATTCCACACTATCAATGAACTATAATTTCATTAATATGTGTCCCTCTGTCTTCCTTACCCCAAAATGGGATCAAACTATTAAGAAAAAACTTTGTAGCCTACATTTTTACTTAATACATCATGAACTGCTTCCTATGTTATAAACAATTTGTGTAACAGTTATACATTCATACTTGTTTATCCAATAAAAAATTGCTTACAGATAATTTATTATATTACAGATACATTCACTTTCCAGGGATACAATGGGTAAACCAAAGATATGTGTTGCTGATAGTGCCAAATCATACTAGAATTTGGGACAAAAGAACTGGTTGACTAGAAGAAGATGCAGGAAAAAATGTATCTTTTCATCTTCTATTAAGTCACTGTTGAGGATGTTAACTAAGTGTTTGGCCAACAGATGAGTTCTGTTCTGTGCGTCCTTTGTTATCATGAACTGCAAGAACAAAGTACTGAGAATTGCTTAATTTTGTTCTACTCACAAAACAGAATATGATGTCTGTTCACTATGCACATAAATGAGATCATAAAATCAAGACTTTAAAGGTAGAATAGGGAATTATACAAGTATTGATTCAAGTCCTGGCTCTATCATCCAAAAATTGTGTGACCTTATTTGAAAGCATTCTACTGATTCCTGGCCTGGCCCTAGAAGTTCAAAGAACACCAGAGTAGGTAAGGGAAATTCTGCTTTTAACAATTTTCTTACGTGGTTCTGACCATCTGAAATAACAAAGCATAAATAGAACACTGGTGAAACATATAGAGGAAATAGGACTATACTACTTTTTTTCTAGTAGTTATATGTCTTCAGTCTACAACCACCAGAATTTTTATGATCCTCTCTGTCATCTAGCTATTATCTATGTATTATCTAACTCTATCTAATTAGCAGTAAGAACATTTTCCCAGATAAACAAATGTAGATTTTGAATTGATTGCAGAAGAAGTCAGAGAGGGAGAAAATAATTTTTTTTCACAAACATAAGAACATATATGTATTTAAAAATGTGTGAGAATGTCTGTGTCTATGCATGTGTACTTATTCCCAATTTTTACTAATTTTGTCCTATACCAATCATGTGCGCTTCCTTGTAACTTTTCCTTTACCTAACCAAATATGAATGCACCAGGAAGCTCTTTAATTGGGAGTGGGTATGATCTCCAAGTGTGTGGGACTGGTCCATATGAATTAAAAAATACTAAAGGAAATAGAGAGCTCTCCACTTAAAATTAGTGCTCAAAACAGAGAGTAATTAGGTTTAGTAGAAAACTCAGTTAAAGTTGTTATGTGACTACACTATTAGAATTAAGAGGTAACTGAGATTTCCCAAGTGATAATAGATAATTTGCTGTTTAGCCTGTAATGAGGTTTGAAAAAAAGATGCTCAACAAGATATCAGCAGTAACTATAAAGACATTTCTTAGAAGGTCCACCCAGTGGGCATTTATTCCTTTATCCTTATAAAAGAGACAAACTGTCTAATGCAATATACTCTCAGTTCTCATCATTAGTGCCCCCAAAAAGATTTCTATTGACCCTAACCATCTCTACTGACTATTTCCTCCCTGCTGGCTTTTCCTGGTTTTCTGCTGAACTATTCTGTCACGAGACATGAGTCAGATGTGGTGGGATAGTGCAGAGAAAGAGAAATCACAACCTTCAATGTTGTAGTAATTACATTTTTACTAGAAATATCCAGAGAAATAGGATGCAATCTTTAAATGCATATGCAAATCATGTGCAAATTATATGCTAATACATGTGTGGCCCGCCTAACGATTACACATAACTGAATGCAGCCCTTGGGAAAATCTTATTGGAGATCATTGGTCTAATGAAAGTTGCTGCTGCATGCTAATTACAGTGACATGTGTGCTGCTGTATTGCCCCTTAGTGGTGAGGGGAATGACAGAGGTTAGTTGAAGTTAGATGACTGACTGACAGGAATTATGTCTGTCACCACAGAAGTAAATAGCAAAATATGTCTATTCTCTGAAATCCAATTTTTATGTCTTTGTATCTAAATTAAAATGCAGTCTTGTATGACCACTGACAATGTGTTCAGGAAGATAGGAGTCTGGAGACAAAAGATACAAATTACTAATTGACTGAGTCAGGTTAGTCTTTCTTTGCTATAGTATTTTCACAAATTTTCTATTTCTTAACAGTTGACTAACTCATTGGAAATATGAAGATTATAGAAATATACTATATACATTTAGAGAAGTAATAGTACTCATTTTTCAAAAATAAGTCAAGTTCTAAAGAGATTTAATGCCTCCTTTAAAACAGACAAATCCAAGCTCCACTATGTTCAGCTGTATGACCTTGGACAAGTCTCTTAACATCTTTGAGTCTTGAATTACTTAACCACAAAAATATGATAATAGTATATACCTCCTTGGGTAATTAGAGGATCGCATGAAATACTGTTTTACAGAGCCTAGGGTTTGAAAGGCAGGTGCTCATGAACCTATTATATTTCAAATAAGTGATTTTTTAAAAGTATTTATTATTTATATCTAAATATGTTCTCTATTTTAAACTAATTTTTAGTTTATGATATTGACATTTCCTAATTAGAGAGATACTCAATATTTGAGAGGTGACTCATTCTTATTTAAGCTATCTCAGAAAAAAAATTAAAAAATAGACTTGATTGTGATGTAGAATATTAAACAGAAATATAATTTGTGATTGTATTTAGGAATCCTAATACCACCATTTGAGACTTATGACTAAGAAATGAAGAGATTGAATTGTGGAGGAAGAGTGAAAGAATTACCTTAATTATTCATTAACCTAATTAGCTTAATTAATTTAAGCAGTTTCCCTGCTTGAAAGAAGTACTTTCCTGAACTTGTTCAGAAATCACATCTACCTTCATTAAAGCCAAAATAGACATAAAATGTTTTGTGGTTAGCTTACGATAAAGTTCAGGAATCAAAGGACTTGCCAATAGTGTTGTTCAGGAAATGGCTCATGGAAAGGATCCCTTGATTGCTAAGATTTACTGATACTTGCTAGGCTTCTTCTTATATCTTGTTAAAAGGCATTGATTTGCCATTTCTAGAACTATTTCAAGTTGGAAATTTCAGCATATTCAAGAGCTTCTTGAAGTTTTGGCTAAAATGAAGGTATATTACAATTTGTGGGGGAAAAAATTCATTGGAATTTTATTTGTATGTATTTACTATTAGCGTTTAATGCATCCAAGCTTATCTTCAGCATTGAGCAGCTTTATTACTATACAAGCAACATTAATAACAGTGCTTACTAAGTACTTTTCTATTGTGAGGATAATAGAAGAAAATATGATTGCTTTGGCAGTATGCTTTTCTCGAATTTGTTCTATTTGACATCTTAAAAATTAAATATAGGTTGTGTCATAATGGACACTAAATTGTGCCTTGAATGTAATGTCACATTTTTCCCAGCACAGATGACTTGATTACTAAAATTGAAGTCATTGTCCAGTTAATGACTTAATTATTTGGAAGAGAATTGATTTATCCTTTTTATCTCAACAAACTCCTTACCTCCTGTGTTAAACAGAAGAAGGAAGTATGTTATGAAATAAAATTGAAGGTTTAAATATGTTTGGTCAGTTTTCTCCTCCTATAAAATATGTGATATCAACAGATTCAACACTTTTAGCTTCAGGGAATGCTTGACTCTCCAAAAGGCATATAATTGAGTGTACCTGCGGTACAAGACTATGTCTAATCAGTCGACTCTGTTGCTGGGTAGAGTCAAGTGCCATTCATCTGCCTCCCCTGAGATTTGTGGAAACAAGAAGGAGGAGCAGGATTAAGACAAAGATATATAACCATGTTGACCACTGAAGTTCATGGTTAACAACTTAATTATCTAAGTTCAGCTATCACTCAGAAGCAAATCTGTGCAATTTAGGCACATTTTATAATCTACAATAGAAATAGCATAATGCTAAGGACAGTGCTGCTAGAATTAGAATCTACATTAAGTGTGTTTAATTTAATTTTTCTAATTATATTTCTAATAGCTTAAATATCTGCACTGATAAAACGGTTAACCACCTGCATTTAAATGCCACCTGATGCGTTTATTTTGGAATAGTAACAGATTGGTATAATTTGAGCTCAAGTTCCTCTAAAAATTTTTCTATTAATGGGTCCTAATTTAATCTTTGTGCCTGATCTCAAAATGATGTTATAAGGCAACAATCATTGTGAGACTTGCCATTATCTGGTATTATCCTGTTGTGATTTTTTTCCCAGTTCAAACTTGGATTCATAGATAGTTAAATCAAAAATAGAAATTTGCACTGGCATTTCCATTTTCCTATGGAGCTTCAACGTTGGAATAATGCCTGGCTAAAAAAAATCAATTCAGTGAAATGTTTGCATAGCACTATGTGAGGAAGGTTAGGAGAATATGCACTACATCTACTGTTCCAGGTGGGCAAACATATGCAAAATGCCCTTATGATCATATATTTTCTATATGGCCCATGTATTTTGGGCTGATAATACTACAATGAAACTTAATTTATCCCCACACAGTAAGAAGTCTAACCTTTTGAAAATCTGATGAATGATATAGATCCTCTCCTCCTTTCCCAAAAAGAAAGAAAGAAAGAAAAAAGAACAGAGAAGGTATCAGCATTTTATCAGAACATCAAATGAGAGTATTCTATTTCCTTCTGTTTAGAAATAACCTAGTCCTAGCGAAGCTAATTGTAGTGAAAAGATCAAATAAGCACTGCTGTTCATTCATAGACACACAATTGTATTTGAAAACGTAAAGTCTTAAGACACTGGAAGGAAAAGCTTCTGAAACTCTGATTCTAATGATACCACTTTTTCACTGAGCCGACGCATAGTCCATGCTCAATATGCTATTATTCAAGGAAGCGTGAGATAATGCGACCATGGGGAATAATACGGTAGTCCCACAGAAGTTCCATCGCTAACTAGAAGTATGGTTTCAATTAGCAATGGCAATAATAATACTTATGATTGTTGTAATATCTATTATCATCGTTTTAGTTGAACATGATACAGAAGAGAGTTGAAGGAATCATGAGTTTAAGTGTTAGCTCTAAGAAATGTTTGTGTGACCTTGATTTAGTCATTGAACCAGTACATGGCATAGTTTCAGCATCTGTAAAATGTGGAGGTTAAACCTAATGATCCTTAAACATAAAATTTCTGTATTGAATGCAATATTGTAAAGGGTACAAAACAGGAGTTTTGAAGTCCACAAGAACCTAGGTTAATATCTGGCCTTTACTACTTATTATCTATGGGACTTTGTTCCAGAACAATCATTTCTATCTTCATTTTTCTTTTGAGTACATTTTAGATAATTAAACTGTTAAGATGGAAGTCAAGATTAAAGGGTAATAGTCCTTGGTGCATTGTAGGTGTATAAATGTTGGCTTGTTTCATTATGACTACTTCTTTACCTGACTATGAGTGGCAAAAAAGACAGAAACCATGTCAGTAACAAGAGATGGTGTGATTAGAAAACTATGTATGGGTTCATGGTAGCTATGCCTTGCAGAACTATCACAGCAGCCTTTGTCTCATAGGTAGCAGAGAAAACAGACTATGCAGTTCTGAAACTTAAATACTAAATTTGGAAGGTTGTCCTATGTATCGAATAGACTTGTGAGTCCATGAAGATATTGCAGGAGACTAATAAAATAGCTCTACTCTGGGAAATTAATAGATTCTGTTCTGCTTGTTCTGTCCACACTATACTCTAAAAAATACTGCATGATAAGGTTGCTGATTGTGTAAAGGGCTCTTGTAGTAGCACTCTGGAACTGTGAAGTGGGGCAAACAATGTATCTTAATTTATAACCACTCAGCAAATGTAAAATGGTAGGAGATTCACTTTTTCTGGGTAGTTCTGAGCTTTTTCTTCTCTTTTGCAGAGAGAATTCAGCTCACTATGATTTCTGCAATATACAATTATGGGAAATCATGTTTGGATTGACACTGCAGACAGAAATGGCATGCATGATTCCTGTTTGGACAGGAATAGCTGTTGGGGAGGAAGCCAACCTTGAATGACACTGAAGAGCAACATAATGAAGCATGAATTGACAGGTGACAGGACAGATCTAAAACATTGAAGGTCTATATAATAAAATGAGTGAAATAGGTTGACTCGATCAAGTGATATTATGGGAAATTATGTCATTACTGTATTATTTGTTTCTGTGATAAATGAAGAACTCTATTTCCTTGAGTCTGCTTTAAGACTTTTTTCTATTCCTAATTTCTTCTAAATCTACTTTGGAAAAAAAAGAGATTCATCTGTAAAGTATTATTATATTTGTCTCCTGGTTCAAATTGTATATGTCATTTTGTGCAACCCAAGATGAATATTGTGGTAGTGATGGTCTTATTTTCTTTTCCTGGTTTGAAAGAAAAACAATTCCAGGTAATGGTCAGTTTTGAGACCACCAGAAAGAGCCAGAACATGTCAAAAATATGTTTGCAAAAATTACTTAACGATCTCTTCACTGATAAATGGATAAGGTAAAATAAATATGTGAATTAGATTTAGGCCATTCTTAACATTGAGGAGAAATGACTCTTCTTTACTCTTTCCAGTATTTTCAATTTCTTGGTAAGGGCTTACCAAGACTTGTGTGTGTCCTGAATCATATAAGGGATACTAACTCTTCTGAGAAGATACATTACTTTTTAATTTCCTCAATGCCTTGCTATCACTGACTAGGTAGATAACGGCAGAAGTGAGGTAGGCAGATCTCAGAGGGATTTTTACTGATCCCAAAGAACTACCTCAGTACTGGAATAAGAGCTGTGCTGCCAATCACACTGGCTAGCAGCCGGGAATAATGCCTGACAACAATTGTGCATATGTCAGGGATCAGCTAATAGGTCTTCCTGTTGAAGTTTCAAGATTGACTGATAGAAACAACTTTGCAGATAGTTTGTCTATATGAAAAGTGACTTAATCGCTGTATTTAATTGTGTGAAAATATAAGTGATCATTTAAATCACACTGATATTTTAGCATACTTTAGAAGCACTGCAAAGTTGAATGCTTCTCCCCTTGGGGAAAGCACAAGAAATAAAATAATGAAATCCAGTTAAAATGTAAAAGTGTTGAATTTACTAAGCCCCCCAAATCTATACTTCATTCCTTATTCATTGTTGTCAGATGATAAAAATCTGAATCTTTATTGACTCCTCCCTCTGGTAGAAGCCATTCCCTAGCTGGGTCACCCAAGCTATCACTTCTACTTCACAAGTATCTCTCAGACCTGGCTGCTGCCTTCTACTCCCACTCCTACTGTCTTAGTTCAGAATCATAGCAACCTTCCCCAGCAATAGCCATGTCATACTGCTCTCATTTCCTTCTGAAAGGCATCCTTCACGTTGCTTCTGGCTTCCCGTGTAAAAAGCCATATCTGAGCGCAGCTCTTATGGGGCCAGATCCAGGGGAGGAGAAAGGAAGTGAGGCCCAGAAAAAATACATTGTCATGGAGGAGTGAAACTGAAGACAAAACAAAAAGGTAAAAAGATGAAAGCGCCCAGTAAGTTATCTGTCAATAAAGAGTTTATATTGCCTTTTACTTTCCATACTAAAAATGTGCAAAAATAACCCCACTGATTGTGTGTGATTACCACACAGGACTTTCCACAACTAGGCCCCTGGCTTACACTGCAATGGAAGAAGAGGAGCAGAAATACTGCCAAAGATCCTTATGGTAAATTTGATACAACTCCTCAGAGTAATATTGTCTATGCTTCCTTTTGGGTCTTTTTGAACCACAACACCTCTTGCAATTATAGCTTAGAAAGTGTGCGTGTACATCAATTGTTTTTATAAAAATGCACTTTTTTTAAGCATTGAGAGGCGATTGCTTTTTAAAAATTATAATTTTTATAAAACAAGGAAGTTTTTCAAATAAATACTTATGTTCTGTTTGTGCAGAGGGTCAGCATATATAATGGCAACTTTGTAAAGAGAAATTGAGTTAAAAGTTTATCTATTCCTAGTACTTAACTGGCTACAAGGCCTCAGTTTCTGGTCTGATGTGTGTCTAGGCAATTGTTTTACTTACATCTCCAGACTCATTTAATGTTAACCATTCTGGTTACACTGAATTTGTTGCTGTTTCGGGATCAAGTCATGCTGCTGTCCTACATTCAGCCTTCAGAAATGTTTCCTTTGTCTGCAACATTCTCTCATAATCCATGTTTTGCCAGCTGTTTCTCACCCTCACACACATGCACATATGAATACCAAATTTCTCACCATCCTTCAGGCCTTAGCTTAAATGAAACCTCCTACAGGAAGTGTTATTTAACTCAATTGAAGTTTGGTCTTCCTCCATGACCCTATATTTCTCCCATCATAATGCATTTTATTAAATTCTGTAATTGTCTTCCCAGAAAGACCATCAGCTCTATGAGAACAAAGCTCTTGTCACTCTTGCTTACCACTCTATCTTTAGCAGCTACTAGCCAGGTCTCAGGAAATATAGGAGGCACTCAGTGAATACTTATGAAATGACACCCACAAATGCAATTTGTTGTTTATCAGACGGGTATATAAAAATCTCACCAGTTCTGTTGTATAACAATTGAGACTAGCACATAGTAGACATTCATAAATATCTGTTCAAAGAATGAATGAAGGAGTGAATGAATAATGTGGTAAAAAAGAATGCCAAAGTCCCTTTGCCTAAAACATTTCTTCATAGAACTGGAACTCCTGAATAATATTGCTCATTTCATAGCTCTTAATTCCCCATCACAGCAGCCAGGTCCTGGGAGAATGGAATATAAAAAGATAGGAAGCCACATAGGTCCTTGGGAAACTGGAAAAAAACAAACAAACAATGAAGACCCCAAGATATTAGAGTGGCAGAAAAAGGGGAGAGAAAAAAGCTGTAACCACCTGCCTGTGTTAATTATTTTGCCCCCAGTTGTGGCCAGTGAGAGATTTTTTCCCCTTCACTTCTCAGGGAAACACTTTGGAAGGCTTGTTCTGCAGCAAGGACCTCAGAAACAAAGGAGACATATGCAAGTTCACGAAAATGAAATCAGTGTTTAATTACTAAATATTCTACCTCTAAAATTAAAGGAAAAAAGCTTAAATAATTCAGTTTGATTTGGTCTCATTAGTCTGATTTCCTAGTATTTAGCCTTAATTATGTGATACATAAGCCCTAATTATGTGGTACATATACAGTGCGCTCTCTAAAGTTAAAGATCAGAACGGATACTGACTTAAATGATAAAATATGTTAAATTATTAATGATAATTAATCTTACAAAATAGGCATAATTAGTTTAAGTACTTTAGATATTATTCTTAATAGCATTACAAATAATATGACACAGTTTGATCATTTTAAAAATAATTGATTGGGAAAAAAGTCTACACAGCACTGTTTTTTACTCAGGAGAGCTAACCAATTGCTTGGTGCTGTCAAAATATATCTAGCTGTCCTTGTTGAAAAGGTGAGTTTGCTTTAACCCAATAAATGCTGTGTCCTAAACAAAATGGGGATATTGCTTTTAAAGAACACTTTTTCATGGACATGATCATCTTTATAACAGCAGTACCTATGCCTTTCAGGGTTTAAAAATATTCTTTGGTTTAATTTACTCTGGGTATTGTCCCATGAACTGTTCGGCACTGTTCAGTTTGTTTTTGTATTTAGTTTTGTATTTAGTGTTTGTATTTGTATTTAGTATTGCTATTTTTTTTTTTATTTTCTACTGAGGTCAATTTAAAAGTTAGTAATTCAATTTTGATACCACAAGCCAAAGTGTTTGTTTTTAATTCTTTTTCCTAACTTTGGATAAATCTGCTATTGTCAGTTAGTATCTAACATAGGCTTAAATTCTGAAAAGTTCTGTAGGAATATAAAATAAATAGTTTGCTTTTAAAGCAACATTTTAAAATGGATGTTCTTCTATTGAATGGGACCATTGTGGAATCAGATAACTGTTCATCTCTTCTATCTGGAGTTTAGGGATGAAGAATAAGATGATAAACTACACATCAGAAATCATATTACTGGCTCTCCAAGTTTTACTAGTGTTCCCAGCCCAGGTTTAAAAATATTCTGACTGAATACAACTGAGAAAAGCTTACAATCAAACTGCAGAACATTTTTTTCACACTGTGATTCAAGAGAATCACTGGAAAAGTGATTTTGTCAAATAAAATCCTAATGCACTGGAAAAAGTCTGTAGTCCCAGCTACTAGGGAGACTGAGGCAGGATGACTGCTTAAGCCCAGGTGTTTGAGGCCAGCCTGGGCAACATAGTAAGAGAACCCATCTCAGAAAAAAAAAAAAAAATCCTGATGTGATAAGATTAGTGCATTAGATATAAATCAGTCTTGAACCTTGATGTTATAAGATTCCACAATAGTTAAAAAGTAGGTGAAAAATGATAAGGATTATCTAACTCTAAAGTCACACAGGAATAGTTTCTAATATTAGGGATTTGTTCTAATGACATCCTTCCACAATGTTCAAATCAAAACTGTATTCTTTTCAGACATTACATTCATCATTTAATATATTCTTCCAAGCCATCATCACCAACAGTTTAAGCACATATCTCCCCAATATTCAGGCTCCCAAATTTGATGTAAGGCAGCATTGATGTGATACTAATTCACATGACTCTGCCACATAAACACTTGTTAAGGACAGAGATTAAAGACTGGCCCCAGCAAGAGAAGGCTGATTAAAGTGGGGACCTTCAGGGAAAGGAAATGTCTGCATTGTCACAAAGTTTTGCTGAGAGAACTTTGAGCAGTAAAGGGTTGCAATAAAGGTTTTGATACTTAAAAAAAAAACAACAGTAGAACATTTTCTTTGGATGAGATCTTGTATAGAACCTCAGCATGTAAAACAGATAAAACTGACATTTTGAAAGTCAATGAAAATAATGCAGGTATTTAGCCAAAAAATGTAAAATTTGATATTATGAATGACAATACAAAACAACCTTAGCATTCAGATGATTTCTCTATTTTGTGTTGCACCATTTTAAGAAAATCTGCCCAGATATGTAGTATGAACAATTTCATTTTTATTTTTCAACAGATGGCATTGCATTTTAGACTGCTTTTCAACTGATTATGACAGTATCAACAAAAGAAACTTTCATTTGAGGTATGCAAAGAAGCAATATTAATCCAATAGCATGTTAAACTATTGGTTCATGTGTTTTCACTTAATTATATTTTGTTGTGATCTATATGTTTATATAATATGAGTGATTTTATACAAAATATTCTTATTAAACTCCTTATTGCTTATTTCATATTGCTTAAGATATTACACATTATATTATACAATGTAGTCTTTATGAGGTCTCTGAGAAATTCCAGTTTGAACTTGTGGTAAAATAGAGTGGTGGTTTTCAGCCTAAAAAAAAAAAATTGGTAAACATGGTGAACTGTGTAGTTGCCAAGTCTTACCTATTCATTTTGGGTGCAAAAGTACTTAGAGCCACCAACTATGGCCAAGTACTAGAGAGCTGTATCTTTACATCATGAATTTTAGCCTCACTGCCAGTCTACTTTTTCCTTACTTGCCTCTTTTGTGTATTTTTCTGAACTTTAAAATATGATATTGCTGTATAATACCATATATTATCTTAGGTATTATCATATTATCTGAAAAAAATCTAAGATTAGGGCAACATAAATGATGGATAATGTAAAATAATCTTTTGACAGTTTCTTCCACTGATTTTCCCACTCTTGAAAAATGAGGCTATGTATAATTTGACCTTGTATAATTGGATCTAGGGCAGTGTCTGCCATTTAGAGGGTATTAAAACAATGATACTAATGAAAATGAATTAATGAAAATACTAATAATTTTATACTATAATTCTATACCTCTTTGCTACTGTGAATAGTGCTGCAATGAGCAAACATGTGCATGTGTGTTTATAATAGAATTATTTATATTCCTTTGGGTATGTACCCAGTAATGGGATTGCTCATGAAATCAACCCAAATGCCTATCAATGATAGACTGGATAAAAAAGATGTGGTACATATACACCATGGAATACTATCCAGCCATATAAAATAACAAGATAATGTCCTTTGCAGGGACATGGATGGAGCTGGAGGCCATTATCCTTAGCAAGGTAACACAAGAACAGAAAACGAAATACTGCATGTTCTCACTTATAAATGGGAACTAAATGATGAGAATATATGGACACATAGAGGGGAACAACACACACTGAAGCCTTTTAGAGGGTGAATGGTGGGAAGAGGGAGAGGATCAGAAAAAATAACCAATGGGTACTAGGCTTAAAACTGGGTGATGGAGGCAGGGCGTGGTGGCTCACGCCTGTAATCCCAACACTTTGGGAGGCTGAGGCGGGCAGATCACCAGGTCAGGAGATGGAGATCATCCTGGTGAACACGGTGAAACCCCATCTCTACTAAAAATACAAAAAAATTAGCTGGGCGTGGCGGCCGGCGCCTGTAATCCCAGCTACTCGGAAGGCTGAGGCAGGAGAATGGCGAGAACCCGGGAGGCGGAGCTTGCAGTGAGCTGAGATCGCGCCACTGCACTCCAGACTGGGCGATAGAGCAAGACTCCCTATCAAAAACAAAACAAAACAAAACAAAACAAAACAAAACAAAACTGGATGATGAAATAATCTGCACAGCAAACTCCCACAACACACGTTTACCTATATAACAACTTGCAGTTGTACCCCTGAACTTAAAAGAATAATCGGCCAGGCGCAGTGGGTCACGCCTGTAATCCCAGCACTTTGGGAGGCTGATGTGGGTGGATCACCTGAAGTAAGGAGTTCGAGACCAGCCTGGCCAACATGACGAAACCCCGTCTCTACTAAAAATAACAAAAATTATCTGGGCATGTTGGCACACGTGCCTGTAATCCCAGCTACTGGGGGACTGAGGCAGGAGGATCACTTGAACCTGGGAGGAGGAGGTTGCAGCGAGCCGAGATCGCACCACTGCACTCCAGCCGGTGCAACAGAGTGAGACTTCATCTCAAATAAATAAATAAATAAAAGATTAATAAACAAAAACAAAAAAACACAAAAAATTCTATACCTCAATTTATAAAATTCTATAACTGTCTATTAACTACTAATAAAAATGTGTGATAAAGGCTATTAATGATGGGGTTTCCTTTTTTACTCTATAAGCATATTTACCATCTCAATAAGTTACAAATATCTAAACATACCCTATGCCATTTTATAATAATACTATGACATGTAATGATTCTTGCCCTGTTCTTTGTGTTGGAATGTTTTTGTCGGTTTTAAATGAAGTATCACTTCCTTTTTGAAGGTTTTTGTAACTCTGTTGAAAGAATTAGTCACTCTTCCCTTGAATTTTTAATGTAACTGGCTCAAAACTTTACGTATTTATCAAACTGTATTTTAATTATCCCCTAATATGTTTATCTTGCAAGTCTGTGATCTCCTTAAGGATAAATGACCAGACTTCCTCATCTTCCTGCCTGACATGTCATGAATGTTTAATAATTTGTACTAAGCATTTAATATTAAGCAAATTAAAAAATGGCTGACAATTCAATAGTATTTAATATCTTGAATTTCAAAAATATTTCATATAATTGCTGATATTTGCACCAAGTTTTGCTAATATTTATTTTTACTTATTCAGATGAGTTTTTAAAAGTATCTGTTATTCTTTCCCTAAATTTAGAGATAAGTAGTAGGCGTAAAGTCTCTGGTGTTTCTGAAATTTGTAGGAAGGTTAGTAAACATTTTTAGGGATTGAAGACTTTGCCAATATAAAACTATATAAATATATAATATTCATAAAATATTTAGATCTATGCATGAATTTATATTAATAAATTAATATATTATCAAATTATGAAATAAATAAATTTATCTATTATATGTATATTTATAGATTTATAATATATTTATATATTTCAATTTATATATTATAAAATATACAAAATATTTTATATAAACATAAAACTAAATATACATATACACATAAATACATATGTATACTTATAGACATATATTTATATACAAATTTTTGTATTTATGCAATATATTATATACGTATTTTGTATATACATATCTGTATATTTATATTATGTTTGTATATGTATATACAAATATATACATATAAAAGTGTATATATACAAAATATACATATAAAAATGTATATATGTATACAGAAATATATACCTATAAAATGTATGTATGTATATACAAATATATACATATAAAAATGTATATATGTATATGTATTCTTAGCAAAGTCTTAAGCATATGTATATGCCTAATTAAGTAATCAAGCAGGAAAGCAATAAGCAAAGCCGTATAATATTTGAAATTGCACAGACAGAGCTAGAAATTTTATTTTATGCTGATGCTGCACAATGCATGGAATTGAATGTTTAGTAACTGTTTGTTACTCTGTTTATGTCTATCTCCTGGCTTTAAAGACAGGTAAGCCTAGCCTGAAATCTGAAGAAATGTGATGTTTGAGACTAAGCTCACAAAACTGAAAAATACGTTAGTGTGCACTTTAGAACTGAGTGACTATTTTCAGCTATGAATAAGTTGCAAAATGATAAATACTTGGAATGTCAGTTTTGCATGTTTAATGTAACTTTAATATTTACTTTTGATCAATTATTACAATATTAGTGCTATAAAACAGGAGGCTCATTTTTCTATTCATTTTTAATCATCTAATCACTTGGCATATACTTATTGATTTCTAAATATTTTCTTTGCCTGGTTGTCTGGATTTTCATTAACTGTAGGCTCAAAATCAAAATTTCTATAAGAAACTTTTAGATTTTGAAAATTAGCTTGGTTGCTTTATTTATTTATTTTTCTTGACCTCTGGGAAAACTACAAAATAGACAGAATTACATAATATGTGGTTTTAAAGTTATAGCAATATGTAGCTTTTAAATTGGAATGTTTTTGGGAGGTATTTGCAGTTAATGAGCAAACAGATATTAAAACTGATGAGCTCCATATCACCTTATACTTATAATCATATTTCAACATTATGTAATTGTTAGGATGCATGATAATAATCTCAATATGATAATATACTTGTGGAAAGTAATGGTGCTAATTTGCTATTAGGCTGCTGCCTTGCATCATGCAGTTTAATAATTATAACATCAAAAAGTTAGTGTACAGATAGTCTCATTTCTCTCACTTGTTTCATCTTGGCTTGCCCCTCTCTGACCTTTCCACTTGCTTCTCAAACAGTTATTAAACAGAAGACTCAAGATGTATGAAGAAAACTTTTAAAATCATTTCTTAATTTTTTCTGTTTTTCCTAAATTCTCTTGCTTGTTAGATATCAGATACATATGCCTTTAGTGTATTATTGATTAAGAAAAAATGTTTAGGTAGTTTCCATATTTTAATAATTTTTATTTTTGTTGCCTAATTTTAGTTTTTTAATAACCTTTTTCATCAAGGCAATGCCTGTTTTTGAGAATAAGAAACTACTACATAGGTTTTTTTTTTTTTCTGTACTTTTTAGATTACTCTTTTTTTTCCAGCAAATCTTTTATAATTCATAATCCAAAGGAGGGGGTAGAGAGAGAGCGTAAGAAGAAGAAATAGGAGGAGGAGGAGGAAGAAGAAGAGGAGGAGGAGAAACAAGAGAACAGAAGAGAAAAAGAGGCATTCATTTTCTACATCCAGAGCTTTGGAGAAAATCTAGCTACAGTTAAATGAGTAAAGAGGAAGTTGAAGCCCTCCCAGAAATATGGTAGAGGTCAGTGGTAGTTAGAACTCTAAAGAAAAGACACAGCAAAAGCACGAATCCAGCATAGGTTGTTCTTGAACCAATTCGACATTCAGGAAACTAAGTGTGAATAAATAACTTGCCAAGTCTCAGTAATTCCTTAGTCAGCTTC
Source organism: Homo sapiens (assembly GCF_000001405.40). NCBI lineage: Eukaryota > Metazoa > Chordata > Mammalia > Primates > Hominidae > Homo > Homo sapiens. The sequence continues at coordinate 155,694,193 of NC_000002.12, read as the reverse complement.
TACTCTGCTAAGCAAGACAGATCATACCAACACATCCATTACACTCCACATTGAGTGATGAATGTCTTTTGAACCTGAAACAATAAGTTTCATCAGAGTAAAAAGGAAGAAAACCTACTTTCTGACTATAACAATCAGCTTATGTCTTCATTGGAAAAGGTGGCAGTTGAGTTAGACCTGACCAGCTTGTCACTAAGAGGGATAGAATAGTGTGCTTCCCCCCAATGTCTTGAATGCTTCATGTCAAGACAGCAGAAGATATTGCTCAAAAAAAAGGTGATAGGTAATTAGGTAGGGCTGGCTGATTACATTTGAAATCTATAATAAGGATTTGGAAATTTATATAGAAGTCATTTTATAGAAGAAGATTTACATGGTTGGAATGTAATAACATTAAATTTAGTGGCAACTCTTTAGTTGGCTTCTGGAGAGGGAAATCTGAAGGAGAGGCTAAAATAAGCCAAGCAGATAAGTTGAGACCCTGGGATACAGTGGTAAAAATGGAGATCAAGCAAAATAATAAGATTCATAAAATGTTCTTGAAGATAGTTAACTTATTTATTTTATTTTTGTTTATTTAACTCTCAATAAGAGGTTATCATCTATTAGAAACTATTTTAAGTGCCTTGTAAATATTAATTCATTTAATTTGTAAAACTCCAAAATATTTGAATAAAAAAGAAATAAATTAAAAATGGCTACATATTTGTGTGGTTGTAGTCAGAAGAGTTAATTCAATTTAAATTATATTTAAGTTTAAATATAATTTAAAACAATTTTTGCCAGAGAATAACCTATAGTTATAAACATATAGTTATAGACCTGTATGGCTTGTATGTTTAATGAGATAATCTATAAGAAATAACTTTATAAACATCAAACCCCTGAACAAATGTACAAAATATTATTATTCTAATTGTTCAAAATTGACCACACACTTTAGAAACAAATCAAATTTAAATAAGGCTGGAGTCAGGCAGTGCATTATCAGAATTACAAGAGAACCAGGCAACAGTGGAAAAAAAAATGCTTGCATGATACCAGAGATATATGGCTATTATTTGGAAACTGTTATGTGACTATTTTCCATGTACTTCTTAGCATATTTTTGAGATGGAAAATCCATGGAATGTTCCATTTTCCTTTTTGCATTAAGAAGGCTTTCATAAGAAACTCATTGTGCCAGAGTGATAATTTTGCATAGTTTAATAGTTCCCATGAATCATGAAACTACTTTCAACCCACACATCATTTGACCCTTATCAACCTTTACACACTAATCCCAAAGGAGGGAATTTGGATAAAATAAAGAAGTGCCAATCACAAAAAATTATTCTGGATTAAAGACAAAGATGAAGAAATTATTTTGATTGTGGTATAAATACGCTTTACAACATTCAAAGCAAAATGTTGAATCACATTAGGGCACATTGAACTGAAGTGCAAGACTTAAGTCAGAAAATGAAACTCTGTGTATACAGCAATGCAATGAATCTGCTTAATATTATTATTTTTTAATGGTAACTATTCTAACTTTTATTTGCACTGCTGTGTAAATCAGTTTTCAATTTCGTTAGTTATATAGTCCAGAAGAAATACAGTCTGGACTTCTTGGAGAAAAATCTACATTTTCATTGAAAATTTCATCTACTCTGATAATTTCAAACAATAGTTGTAGGCTTTGTATTATCAAATATTTATCTACAGGCCTGTCCATTCCCAGATTTTCAGATTCATACATTTAAATACATACTCTAATCCTCCTGTTGAATGTCCCATATACACCTCAAACTTAACAAGTTCAGAACAGAACTGATTATCTCCTCTGCTCACTTGCTGCCACATACACTGACACCAAAATTTCTTCCTCTTTTTCTCATTTGGCAGTGATTGGGAAAGCCTGAAATCTAGGAACTTCTGTGACTCTAAATCATCCCTATATCCTCCAGTGAACAGTTGGTGATTTTACCTCCTAAGTGTCTCAAATCTGATTCTTTCCTTCCTGATCCAATATCATCCATGTACTTATTATCTCTCTCCTGACTATTGAAATAGCCTCTAAATTAATTACCTTGACACCATTGTCTTCCTTATCTAATCAGTTTTTCACACTGTTATCAGAGTGATGATGCCAATATGCAAATCTGTTATTTTAAAATTAAAATTAAACTTAAACTTTTCATTGTTTCCTAATGCCTAAATTATAAATCTAAATTCATTTTCTTTTCTGCTCTAGTACACAAAATTCAAACTTCAGCTTTAGCAAACTCTAAGAAATATGTTTGATATAGATTGTCAAGGCAGGGCCAGATGGGTCTATCCAAAGTAAGGTACGGGCTTTGGTGTTCTAAGGTGTAGAGTGAAAACTCAGAAAGAGAGCCAAGCATGTCTTCATTTATTACCATCTATTTAGAGAGCAGTTAGTAGATACTAGGTGCTGTGCGAAGACTGGTAAGGCATAGTCTTTGCCCTTGAGTTGTTTTGGGATGTCTATGAGAAACATTTAAACTGCTGTTTGAACTTGCACATCTGTTTTTGACTAGAGTAGGAGGTGCTGCCTGAGCAGAATCTTAAAAGACACTTAGGAGTTATTCAAGAAAAAAAGAAGAAAAGGTTTTTAATCATAACGAGAGTGCCAAAGGTACAGAGATTCACAGGATATTATTACATTCTAACAACTACACAAAATTTAAGCTAGACAGTCAGGGGTGGTGTGTGTCAGTATTGACAAGATAAGAAAAGATCAAATCAAAGTCCTTAATTGTCATTGTAAAGTGATTGAACTTTGTTATTCGTACAGTAAAAATTGGTATATTTTTGCTTTTTTGAGGCTAGAGTGCATCGGTACAAAAAATAAAAGTATACAGAAAGTAGAAATTAACAATTCCATTTTAATGCCACCATTAAAGTATGAAGAACAGAGGTGACTTGATCATCTCTGCATTTAGAAAGATTCTTCTGATCTTGGGAATAGATAGAAGGGAACCAAGTCATGCAGAAAGAACATCAATTTGGAAGATGTTGCTATAATCCAAACAACAAGAAATAGTAAGACCCTGAAAGAACAGAGGAAAGTGTGCATATCTGGAGATATTTAAAATGTACAATTGACAATAGTTGGTAAGTATTTGAATAAGGAAGTTAAGAGAATGGGAACACGCAGACATGACTAGCAAAACTAGGAAAACGAAAGCAGAGTTCATTGCTCTGATGCAAAACACAACTGTTCTAGAAATGAGGAACCAATACCAACCATCCATTTATATACTCATATTGCATGTTTATTTGGATGGATCAGACTTATTTATAGTGGCTAGGTTATAATTTGATAATTTTTCCAGTAATTGGCTTATAAACAACAAAACCTAAAGTGGTATAAACTACACACATTTTTAATTGGAGGTACAAGGAGTTATATATAAAAGCTCTTAATTTTTCTGTATATGAGTATGATATTCCTTTGAAGTTAAGAAGATGTATACTAAGTTTTGGGTATTGATACTGAACACCCCTAGGTTTTCAATAATCACTAGCCCTCCTACTCCGGTCTATTATTTTTGGACAGAAGAGAGTTAATGAGGCAATGCAATAATAAAGAAAAGAACATGAAGAGCAAAAAGCTATGTGACATTAAGATCTATTGGGGCACTGCTGAAATTGTTGAGTTTGATTTAAACCTTCAACCTAATTTAAGAAGGAGGCATTCTTCATCATTCTAACCTCAAATCCTGAATATAATTAAAGCTTTATAGGTTAAAGCTTTGATGGAATAATTTCCAGGTTTCTCTTTTCTAGTTCTGCATTTTGAAAAATCTTAATTATTATTCTATTTAGAACTTCAATCACTTAAATTTACAACTTGAGTGACTTTAGTTAAACCAAAAAAGCCTGATGTATTCTGTATCCAAATTTTCTGTTCTATTTTTCTTTAATCTTTTATTACGAACATGTCTAACAACTAAGGTCTTAAATATTCAGCTCCTCTTTGCTCTATGTTGAAAATAAACAGGGAACGCATTAGAGTTGTAGTTATTTTAGAGAGAGGATAAGATCCCTAATGAATTCTGGAAGCTAGGGAAGTTGATTTGTGAGGGATGTGGATATGCGTGAGAGATGTACAGATATAATTCAGTGAGGAAATTTGAATCACGCCTCAAGGCACAGGATGCCTGTGAACCAATCACTACATAAAGACTTTTTTGTTGTCCCATGCTTTGGCCTCTTGGTGAGGTTATTCTTTTGGCAAATGATCTATCTTAATATTACACAAGGAAGCTTTGTGTGAACAGTGCATAATCAGAGTTCTCTTGTCCGACAATAATGTAAGGAAAAAAATGTGTGCAATATCAAACACTACAGAACAGAATAAAAATAGTATTCCTTTGTTACATAAATGTAAAAGTAATAGTGAAAAGCAACGACTTAGAAAGAACACTGAAATTATGAAAACTTGGTGTCTTTGGAAGATTCTTTGTAGGATTTAAACAGGAATTTGGTGCTTTGGAGTATATATTCACATCACCAATGAGAACATTCATAGTATGTGCTAATAAGTATTGTTAACATGTACTAAATGTTTTATATGTGCCATTATTATACTAAGTAACTTTATATTATTTCACATACTTCTAACACCAAATAAAGAGATTGGTATAGTTAACTATTCACGAATCCCAGATAGGGGAATTGAGCCTACAGTTGTAGATCAGAATTTCAACTAAAGTCCATTGATTTTAGATGTGGTCCTTCCAGTCACCATCCAAGATTTCTTCTAAGAGTAATGTGTACTGTGGCTCCTTAGGAACTGCTTAATGCTATGTGATAAGATGCTTTGTTTAGTATTTCATTAAATTAGATCTATGATACTTATATAAGCATTGTATGCTGAAGAAAATCTTGAAACTGTGTTTACCTGTCTTTCATATTTTCAACATTTCAAAATTGTATTTGAATCATAGATCATTATTTTATAGTTCATGGTTCTCTAGGAGATAAATAGAGGTGCTTTAGGGGACCAGTGGCCTTCTAAAATTACATCTTAAACATAGTGTACTTGCAATTTGTTGTATTTTTCTGGAAACTGATAATATTTTATAGCTGCATGTGATCCAAAAAAAGTTTAAGGAACTTTAGTTGGAAGTTTTGAAAATAAATGAAATCTAAAATAACACTTTTACCAAAAAAACTAAAAATCAATATAATCCCCAAAATTTAATAGGAATAATGACAAGGTCATAAATGTATAAAGGCTTAGAAATAATGTCACCAGGAAACAGTGATTTTAAAAATTATTCCTCAGAGATTAGAGTATTAGAGTTATGTGATGTCGACTCACTAAGCAATAGCAAGTCCTATTAAAATTCTGTATTTTGAATTTGTTTATGTCAAATATGACTATATCAAATCCACTTAATATGAATCTATCAAATCTGTTTTAAAATTTGGTATGTAGTGCTTTGGATTACTGTTTTTATTTGGTTTGACTATTATTTTAATTTAAACACAAACTTTATTTGGTAAGTGTGTATGTGTCTTTATGAAAGACTGCCAGTCTATTCCAAAGTGCATAAATTTACATTTCTACCAGAAATGTATGAAAGTTCCAGTTACTATATATTTTGATCAGCAATTGATATTTTCAGTCCTAATTTTAGCTCTTCTAGTGATTTTATAGTAGAATCTCACTGCAGTTTTAATGTGAATTTTCCTGATTGCTAATGACGTTGAACACTGTTTCTTGTATTCATCATTCATTTGTGTACCATCCTTTGTGAAAAATAAAATCATTTTCCCAATTTTAATTGAGTTGTCTTCTTGTAACTGATATGTAAACATGCTTTTTATATTCTGAATATAAGCTTTTCATCAGTTTATGCATTGTGAATATTTTTTCCCAGTTTTTGGCTTCCCTTTCCATTTATTTAAGAGCTGAAAGATTCTTAGATAAATTTTGATAAAGTAAAATGTATCAATATTTTCCTTTTATGGACTCAGCTTTTTGTGGCTTGCCTAGTAAATCATTGCGTAGTCCAAGTGTGCAAAGATTTCCTACTGTGTTCTCTTCTAGAAATTTTATATTTATAATTTTAATTTTTAGGTCTATGTTCTATTTCATGCTAAATTTTGTTTGTTGTGTGAATTAAGAATTGAAGTTCATATGCATATCCAGCTGTTCTAAGGCTATTTGTTGAAAAAACTACTTTTTCTCCATGGAATTGCCTACGTTTTTGTCAAAAGTGTCATAATTGTGGTTTTTTTCTAGACTCTAATTTGTTCCATTGACACATATGTGTGTCTTAACAAAAAACACACTGTTTTGATTACTGTAGCTTTATAGTATAAGTGCTCCAACATTGTTATCTTTCAAAATTGCTTTTGGCTTTTCTAGGTTATTTGCATTTCTATTTAATTTTAGATTCAACTTAATAAATACTACAAAAAAGTCTTCTGGTATTTTAGTTTGGATTGCATTAGATCTAGACATCAATTTAAGGAAAAAAATGATGTTTTAATATTGAGTCACCCAGTTCATGAACCTGATACACTTTTCCATTTATTTAAGTCTTTAATTTCTCTCAACCTGAAAATGTTTAAGAGACAAATAAAAGTGGGTTGTTTCTTCAAACTCTTCATTCCAGTAGAGAGAGTTATTTTTAGTTTACTTCAATATTTGTTTATCCCTGTCTCCAAACTTGGAGGATCTCAAAGAGTCTACCTAAGCTGAAAAAGAGAAGGAGGTCTATTTTGGGGAAGGAGAAATTGGAATCTTCAAAATTACAAAACTGTACTATAAACTTCCACATGTTGCTTCCCCCTACCAGCTCAGCAAGTTGGAACTTTACTCTGAGAGGGTATAGCCAAGATCTTTGCCTCCAGTACCCAGTCAAGGGCTAGGGTTTCTCCCAGGCGTGCCAGGCCACCAGCATTTGTAATCACTCTCCCAAGTTTGATATTGCAGAAGCTCTTTCTTGGCAAGAGCAACAGAGAGGTCCAGGGACTCTTTTGTCCATCCAACTCCTACATATAGGGCAGGAAATCTACTCCAGGAGTGGCGGGCCAAGAATACTGGGCTCTCATTGTCATTGCTGCAGCTTGCTCATAGGGCGATGGGTTCCATCCTGTGAAAGCCAAGATGGGAAGACTAGAGGCTACTACCCACATCCAGTGTTCCACTAGTAGACTGAGTTGTCACTCTTAAAGAAGCAGACTGATGTCGCCACCCCAGATCCAGAGCAAGGATTCAGAGGAGCAGATATAGAGATACCATATAGGAGGCGGCAGGACACAAGAGCAAAGTGTTCCATAACTCTTTCTAAGGAGATTGACTTCCTTTGGGACAGAGTGTGGGAAAGCACAAGCCTAAGGACACTGTCTAAAGCAATGGAGATTTTTGGTGGAAAGCAATTGAGAAGGGGCTGGTAGACTTATGAGAGCAAAATGGACAACAGTAGACCAGTTAGAAATTATTTTTTTAATTATTATTATTTTTTTGAGACTGAATCTCCCTCTATTGCCCAGGCTGGAGTGCAGTGGTGCGATCTCGGCTCACTGCAACCTCCACCTCCCGGGTTCAAGCGATTCTCCTGCCTCAGCCTCCCAAGTAGCTGGGATTACAGGCGCCCACCACACACCCGGCTAATTTATTGTATTTTTAGTAGGGATGGGTTTCACCATGTTGGCCAGGCTGGTCTCAAACTCCTGACCTCAAGTGATCCGCCCGCCTCGGCCTTCCAAAGTGCTGGGATTACAGGCGTGAGCCACGGTGCCTGGCCACCAGATAGAAATTTAACAGGGAGAAATACGGAAAGAGACAGGGAAAAAGAGCCATCATTGAAAGAGCCATACAAAAATGTATACAGGAATGTTTGTAGCAGCGTTATTCACAGTAGACAAAAAACGCAAACAACCCAATTTCCAACAACTGATAAATAAATGTGGTATATTCATATAATGAAATTTTATTTTGACAATAAAAAAGAATAAAGAACTGATGCATGTTACAATGAATGTATAGCATAAACCTTGAAAACCTGCTAAGTGAACAAAAACAAGTCACGTAAGTCACATTGTATAATAATATTTAAATGAAATGTTCAAACTAAGCAAGGCTATAGAGACAGAAAGTAGGTTAATGGTTGCCTTGGCCTGGGGAGATTGGGTTTGAAGTGAAGGGGGTGATAATTGATGAGTGTGGGGTTTTTCTCTTGGGTGATGAATATGATATAAAATTCATTGTGGTGATAGTTGTATAACTCTGAATATACTAAAAAACCGCTGAAATATACACTTTTAATGAGTCAGCTGTATGTGAATTATATCTTTAAAAAGCTGGTGAAGATAAAACTGCAATATCATAGTAGTTTATATATATACAGCATATATATATATATAATGTTTTGGCCACTTTGTCCTTCCCTTTAAAAGCTAAAGGGAAGGACAAAGTGACCAAAACATTTTGTGTATATATATGGTTTAAAAAATATATATATATATTTTATTATCAGTACCATGATTTAGGAGGTAAATTTTTTTCGTTTTATATATATACATATGGTTTGAAAAAATTTATCTCCTAAATCATGGTACTGATAATAAAATGTAATTCTAATGAAGGCAAGAATGAAATATGGTGGTCCGTATAAGAGAGGCTTTAAAGTAAGTCACTCCGACTCCTATCTGTAGATTAGCCCTTAATCTAAAGAAGAAAAGAGCCTCAGTTGGTAGAGTTCAAGCTTAAAGTTCTAGCTATTTTAAAAAATCATATTTAGCTTTTAAAACTCAGAATAATAGCTTGTGTATTGTTAATGGTGGGAAAGGGGCAGATTATCATGACTGATGGAGGGCTTAGAAAGCTTGTATATATTTTTATATATTTTGTACATATTTTTCCATTACACATGACTAAAGATTATTTAATAAATCTTATTTTTAGAAAAGGAGGGATTAATATAAAAATAAATTAATGATCAATACCCTTTTCATTTAGTACAGAATAACTCTAAATACTATCAACATTTTCTCTCAATTGCCACTCTTATAAATCCTTTCACATTGCATCAACTTTCTCCTGAAATTTTATCCAGATTACAGGTAACAAACTTAAAACAGTTGATCTACCCTCCCTCCCTTCTACCTCATGCAGTGTTAAGATAGAGATGTGCCTTTCATTAAAACATTCATCTTCTCATGCTATGCCAGGACTCACCTGCCCTCGTTGGCACTCTGTTATCACAGAGCTGTGGTTTACAAATTGAAATTATCCCCAAAAAAGTCAGAAAACATGACTTGAGTGTCTAAAAATATTGGAAAAATATTAATTTTTATCTCATTCTTTAATAAATATCTTTATATATGTCTCAAAATATCCCCATTATATAATTAGTACGGTAGTACGTGTACATAATTTATAAATACAGTACACACATATGGGATGTGTAGGCCCAAAACTTAACTTTTACAGAGGTAAATGTGATTCAAATTTTGAGGATCTATGTCCTTAAGGAATCACTCATAGCTGGAGGCCAGGGTTTGACATTGGAGAGGGCATTTTTTGCGATGACTTTTAGAATTTGGTGGCTGGGAAGGGGAGCAGAGAAGGATTTTAGGTGTAGTTCATAGCACAGTCCTGATCAAGGATGATTTTTCCTGAGGGAGGATAGATCAACTGTTTTAAGTTTGTTAAATGTAAGTTTGTTACATAAGTCCTTAACCACTTTCCAAAGAATCATTGAATATGCAACTGGGTGAAAAACAAATAAAAAATAACAACAAGCACTGGACTTGATTCCCTAAATAAGCAAAAGGCATTTTTCTTTTGCAGTTTTATTTGCAACATTTTCCAGAAATGCAACCACAATGCAAATAGAGGGAATTTTTTAAAAAATTATTATTTTGGAAAATCACATCACCTTTAGCAACCATGTCGGTGGTTATTTGCATTGCCAATGCAACACATCTGTATGAGCCTATATTTATAGGCATTAAATTCACAGTGGTTCCCCATATAAGTGCAAGCATCTGAATTCTTTATCAGGTCTAATGCAATCATGTCTGACATTTATGCCTTAACATTTACACTATTTTGTTTAAATATTTTCTTTTTATTTTGTCATTATATTAACTTTTTGTTTTTAGTTTGTTATATACCTGTTATAATATGTATAAATGTTATTTCCAGGTAGCTAAGTGGAGATTATCACATATTTTATAATATTTCATATATATAAAGTATATACTTGTTATTAAAATAGACCTTTGAGTCAGATACGGTTGAGATCACTGCCCTGTGAGATAAGAGCCATATAATATGTAATTTGCAGACTTTGGTCCCTGTCATCAGCTCGTCATTTCATCATCAACCTTTGCAACTGCTCCCCTCATGTTTCCCAAATATGTTACGCACCGTTATGTCTATTCTGCTGTTCCTCTCATTCCTTTGCCTGGAAAAATAGTTATTCTTTTTTGTAAGACTCTGCTCAAATGGCAACCCACTTAGAGTTTATTACTCTCCTGCCTGGGTGACCATAGCATTTTGCCCTTATCTCCAACATAACACTCCTATTTCTATCTTCCCAATTAAACCGTGAGCTTCTAAAGGGCAGAGACAATGTCTTTTTCAGTCTTGGAGGGGAGGGATTGTGTTTTACTAATTTCTATCTCCACAGCTTCTAACTTGGTTGCCTTATAATTGCTTATTGACCAATCACTTATTCAATAAAATTGTATTCTTCAATGAACGAATAGCAAATATAAACACCTTAATGCATGACATTTATTTGGATTATTGCATTTTTAAAACTTTTTATTCCCCAGGATTAGAAGTCTATGGACCTACTATTCTAAACTCAGTTTGCTCTGTTGGTGGCTCTGCCTACCATCCCTCTTCATCATCTCCCCTCCTCTGGCATCTGCTACCGCTGTCTTATTTATGTACACATTCTTCAGCGACTCTAGCTATTGCCTCCAAATTATGCAGATTTCTCACCTATTCTTTCTCTTCATATCTGGAATCAGAAGTATGAAGCAGTAAAAAAAAATTAAGAAAATACTATGCTTTCCTCAACATTCATTCTCCAGTGGTTTTTACTCCCCTGATTAGAATTGCCAGTCCCTTATTTTGGCATTCTTAATGCCCAGTTCAGTTACTATCCAAATCAACTGTTGGACTACGTCTTTCCATAATACCAAAAGTTAGCAAATAGCCTTTGACTTTAGCATGAGAAATACCTCATGTATGCCAAGGTATGCTCTTTAATTAATTGCAGTAAATGAAGTCTGGTTTTCATACAAATATGATTTTTGTTAACAAACACAATTATGGAAGGCAATAGAATTTGTTTTACTTCAGCAACTTTTTTCTTTAAGATATTACATAAGAGTTTACAATTATTCTGGAATATAGAAGTTTATTGAATTTAAATTAATTTATAAATAAATGTTCTTGCAAGGTTCAAACACTAGTTAGAACAGTCAGTCAGAAGAGAAGCAAAGCCAATGATAGTATAAAGAGGAAGCCAATGTTGTACAATTCAGTGATGGCTAATTCTTACTGTTTATTGATTATTTTAGTATATTTCAGATACACTACTAGTTTGATTTCAGTAATTACAGCTGGTTGTAAACTATAGAAAGTCCTATATTAAAATAAGGCAGTTTTATAAGAAAAACACACCAATTCCTGAATATGGTCTTTGAAAACTCTTCCATATCGAAAATTCTCTGAGTCTTTCTCAACTATGTTTCTGCCAATAGAAATATGATCTATGGGATAGAAGAGATGTGACCTTATGAACATCCCTGTAAATTTCCCTTAACAGAATCTTCTGTTCTTACTAGTAAAATAGAAGATTATACTTTTGGAATAAAAATTCATTGAAAAGATTAAATAAATTTTTATTTTAATGTGCAATAAACCACCTTGTCTGAATACTTAATATTAAAACAACTGATAAAATATAAATGCTCTTCACAAGTCACAAAATATAAAGAATTTTTCAAGTCTGAAAATCTTTTCAGAGACTTTCTATCCTTTGAGACCAGAAACATATAAGAAGATATACCATTTTGTTTCTTTGTGCCCAATCCCCTTCCTTTTCCTTTTAATTCTGCAAATTTTCCTTAAATATATTTTTGTAGCAAGGAGAATCTAACTTCTATTTATACCATTAATATTATGGCAGGAAAATAGCATATATAGGATTTAGAGCTGGAAAAGATAGTAGAAAATATATAGCTTTAACACACGTTGGTATTTTATAGCTAGGGAAACTGAGTTCTGAAATTATGAGGCACTTCCAAGGCACCCGGTAAAGCAGTACCACTAGAATGTAGATTTTCTTAGTATACAGAGTCTTTTCATAATTGCAAGAAGTTTATCCACCTGTGTTAAAGCTCTGGTTGGAATATTTTGGGGGAGAAAAGAAACATGATTCAGCTTTTATTATTCTCTCTTCTCTATCCTTCTGTTTTTCTAAACTTCATAATTAATCTTTCTTCTATATGTCTCCAATAAACAAATTATCTATTTTCAGTAAAGCCATATTTGATGTCAAGACTCCTCAGCAGCTCATCACAAATGTCCCTTGTAGTAGTTGGTAATTTAATTTATTTTATCAGTCAAGCCCAGAAGCTAATATCTGATATTCAGGAGTTGTATACCTGGGTAGCTTTTGACGTAGACCATTCACTCCCCAGAATTGCAAATCAATGACTTTGGGACACAATTTGGTTGCAGGTGCATTTTTCTTTGGTTGCATAGAGTTTTAAAAAATTGAAAGCAAATCCCTTAATCAAGAACAGAATCACCAGTGTGTCATTTGCTGTATTCTCTACTACTTGTGTATACAACACCTGATGATCAGTATCCATTATGATTATAGAACTGAAACCAATATGAATATTACTTTGCGTTTGTTTATTTTTGTTTTTGGAAAGGAGGGTATATGCATGTTTTCTTCCAATGGAGATATATTCTTGGGAGAGAATGGAAATAGTCATTAGACTCATCATGCCGCTGATGCTTCATAGTCAAAGACTTTGCACTTAACAGTTAGGGAAACGTTAAAAACATTTCAAATGTTTCTTACTGTGCATAATATTCTGACATATATGATAGCCCTAATTCACTAAATAGACAGTTGCATGTCTAGTAATGTGATTAAACGTGTTGCTTAAAAGATATAGTCTTACCTAAGTCTGCTATCTTTTAAATTTCTTTTAAAATGGTTGATTGTAGAATAAAAAGCGAAACATTAAGAGTTAATTTATAATTTAGTGTATATATTTGAGTATTATGAAGTTTATTTTTGCCATGATGATTTTAACTAGGAGCACAGTAATAACATTTTAGTTTATATTTAGTAATGTTCTATAAAAATAATGCATTGTCTTTTACTGTAAATGTAATGGCAAACAGCCAAGGCTAAATATTTTACAGGTGAGTTTAATGTCATTAATGAGCGGTTTAATGTATAAATTGTAGATTCATTTAGTAAATTGAAGAATCATATATAAGCACAATGGTTAGAAGTCCTACGTTTACAAAGAATAGTTCAAAATGAGATTTTGTAAAAGAATATTTTATGAAAATTGAAGATGACCTGCCTAAAAACTATAAAAAAATTATGTTGCAAATTTTGCTTCAAATATGCTTCAGTTGCAAATGTATTAAAAATTAAAATCAAAGAAATAAAAATTTTTGTTTTCAGCAAATATGAATATCTCATTTGCCGTGAATCTTAATGAGCATGTCAAAACATCAGATGATAAAAGGGATTGAAACACTGCAAACAACAAAATTATGAAAATTAATGCTTCATGGTCTAAATATTATTCTTCATTGACCAAAAAAGTGTAACTTTTGTTCGGGTATACATAAAATACATAGTAATTGTTTATACAGTTTTATGAAAATAGAGTTTTATTCTGAAGTTATTACTTATTTTTAGCAATAATACTGACAAATTATTCTTATCACTTTTTCATGATTCTTCTCAACATTTCTCATAAACATCTGATCGATTTCATTAAATTATTTAAGTATTTGATATTTTATTTTTCCTTTGAAATTTTTTTTAAGATGGAATACGGTTTTAAAATTTTAATTTTTCTTTTTTGTTGAAATGCACTTCTAATGTTTTTTAGATCTAAAACAATGATTTGATTAATATTAATACAGCTGTGGGTTTTTATTTTTTTTGTATTTTAAAATTTGTATTCTACATCACAACACTAGAAAAAAAAATCTGTCCCTCTGCCGGACTAGTGTTAGTTTGATGATTATACTAATATTAACTGCTTCACTTGAGTAAGCAAAGAGGAAGTAAAATACCAGTCAGACCAGCTGTTAATTCACAGAGTGTTGTACTACGCTTATTAAAAATACCCAAAAGATGTACCTTTGTGGTTCAGTCTTTTGAATTAGAATCAGAATATTAATCATGCCTCAGGCCTAAATTAAACATTGGAAGGCCCCTTAAGAATTTTCACCAAATTTTCTTGGATTTTTCTTTATTGGGTCTTCCTGGACTCTGTTTAGCTCTGTAATTGCTTTGCTCCTTTGTTGATAGGTTAAAGTACGACGTGATTTTCTCCATGTCATAATATTTAGGAGGACGGCTCAGTGGTCTACTCCAAGTTGCAACGTGCAGCTGAGACACCTATTTATAACAGAAATAGTGTTTATAACGTTAAATAAGGTATGAAGTAAGAACAATTATGTATCTCAATGTCTGTAGTTAATTTTAAAAATCTGAATCATTACTGTCTTCATATCATTGTTATTATAAAATATATAAAATTATATATTATATCATTGTTATATCTTAAGTGATCCTGCCAAATGTGATTGACCTCTTACATATGAGTATAATTTTTTAGTTTTATTTAAAAATAGGAAACCTAAGAAAAAGCTAAAGTTCTAGCATGTTCAAAACATACTATTGTCTGTTTTCAGAAAATGTTCATTATTACTAATAAATAAATATCTGCCTGATTACTTACATGCATATGTACACAATTTCAAGGAGCTGAAGCATATGATTAACAGTAGCATTTGTGCACCTAGCTGTCTAAGAATTGTTTCTAGAGTATATTATTTATACTGGAGTTCAATTTGAACTCCGGACACTAGAAACCAAAACAAAAATATTATGATCTTCAACTATTTTAAAAATGTTTAACATATCTCTACTATGTCATTTTCAAGGCAAAGAGATGAAATAGAAAGGCATGTTAACTTGAGACTGTGTTATTTTAAAAAATAACGATAATAACAAAATACTAGTGCTCTTGATACATCACAAAACTTCCTTTTTCATTTCTCTATTGAATTTTTAATAAACTGCTAATATTTAAATAGGAACTTTATTAGTTCTGAATTCCCTCATAATTATTTGTGGAAATATAAAATATGTCTGTTGAAATTGATATTTTGATTTATTAACACATTTAGTAGAAGAAACATGTTCATTTTTTTGAAGTTTGCTTAATAATATTTGAACTAAGCTGATACATGGACTTTATCTTGGAAGCATCTGTATATTGTGTATCAGAATAATAGGTGTAGCTCTATGTGATTAAAACAAACAAAATGCTTATCAATTCATACTACTATTAGACAAAAACAAGTGAGGGTGAATTTTTAACTAGTTTAAATTATCAGTTAACTATATGTTACCTAATTATCATTACACAAGTTAACAGAGAGAAAATATAAATTCATCTGACCTGATAGGTATCTAAAAAAGTAGTGCTGCACACTGTTAAAAACACTTTGGGTAGCTATGAATTACCTATAAAACAAGAGCAATAACAAAAAAAGAAGTACACATTTCAGAGGGAAGTGTGAACAGTGAGTGACTGGGGAGTACTTGGGGAACCTAACTTGGCCAGTATGGTACTAGCAGTGCTATGCTGTAAAACTGAGTATCATTGATGTTCTGAAGTCGATCTCATCTTTCTTTTTCCCTTCTCCGTGTTGCTACTTGAGTGACAGACAAATGAATCACAACTTGTTAATTGGAATGTGTGAATTTTGAAATAATTTGCTAGTTTTCGAAAATCAAGTACAATTTTGTTAAGCATTTCTATCAGACATCAAACTGTGACCAACAAAGAATAGGTAACTGAAGGAAAAATATCCAGTCCTTCTTTGACAACATTAGTAGTGAAAATTATCACAAATCCAATGAAATGTCAAACATTTAGTAGACTGAAGACTCATGAGACCTATGAGATTATGACCACCTTATATTAATCCAAATCATAATGGCCTAGAATTTTTATGGAGAGGGGCTCTTATAATGAATCTTTATAGCCCAAATCTAACCATTATAAATATTTTACAAATTTGTGTTTTGTATCTCTCCATTTTTTTGGAATACATCAAAAGCATATCCTAAAAAACTTATTTCACCCATAAATACTAAGGGAAGTGTTACTAAGAAATAATATTTTTAATATGTCATTTTTTGTTGTAGTATTTTAAAACAAATTTCAAAAATGTTATTTTACCCTAAATATTTTGGTATGTATCTCTGGCAGTTAAAGCATTTTTAAAATCAAATAATATTAAACACACAACTCCTTAATATCATCTAATAAACTGGGCCCTGTTCAAATGTTTAACATTTTTGTCATGAGCTCTATTTTTCAGACAGTTTTTGGCTAAGGATCTAAATAGAGTTTATAGGTTGTACTTAGTCAATTAAGCCTTTTAAATCTTCAAAAATATATAACTGCTTATTCTACTTTTTTCTTGCCATTGATTTTAAATCACCGACATTTACCTTGAAGAATTGTCTACATTCTGACTTGGTTAATTTCCCTTGTATTTATTGTAAACCTCTACTTATATTTAGAAGTTTGATTACATTCAGATTTAACCGCTACTCTGAGCTTTGTATTTTATCTCTTCAGAAGGCACATATATGTAGTTGCAGCACTTTTAGAGATACATTAAAGCATATCAGTAATAAACTGAAAGAAATATAAAAAAATTACTTTGTTTTAATTTTTAATTGTTGTGGGTACATAGTAGATGTATTATTTGTGGGGTTACTTTACTAATTTTAACAGCAAAAGATTAAAAAATAACACATATGTCCATCAATAGAAAACTGATCGAATAAATAATAGCATACTATGCAGCTGAATAAAAAAAATGGAATATAATTTCCAGGATATGATGTTGCATGAAAACACCATTTGGAAGAAATAAACAAGATGGTATGTGTATAGCAAATACGTATATAATATAAAGTATATGTGTTAGGAATATAGCATGCTACCACTTAAAAATGGGTAAATGTATATATACACACACATATATAGTATATTTAGTTATATTAAAATGAGTATACAAAAGATAACATTTTTAAAGTGTATATATATGTTTATATGCTATATATGTTATATATGTGTATATGCTATATATATATATATGTTTGTCTATATATATATATATATACACACACACCTGCATGTGGGGGAAGAAATAGAGTGACTGGGACAGTGGTAGAGACTGGACTTCTTTGTAAATATATCATAGATTTATAGACATAACTCTGGAACAATGTAAATAGTTGATAAATTATAAAACAAAATAAACTAATTTGTCTTTCTATCTTTGGCATGGTATATATCTAACAGCAAAAAGGCCTGCAAAAAATACTAAATTATCTTTCTTGACCATGTCTTCAGTTGTAATGTTAAAGTTATCCTGAAATACTTGTGTATATATTGTGAAATATAGCAAAAGAACAATTATATCATTAAGAGGCAGGATTTTCATTGTGGTTAAAAGGGAAACATATTTAAGGAACCCAATTAGAAAAGTTAAAATCCTGCTTTTGAATTAAAGTCATTAATAAAAGTAGACTTTATGTCTTAAGAAACACTGACACACACACATAAGCCCACACAAACACACATCTGTCTCTCCACTCAGAAGACTAGAAAAATGACTAATCTTGTATCAGTAAGCATTCTGAGCACCCTTAAAAATCCTCTGTGCTCTGCCTATTTGTGCCTTCTACCACCGTAACTCCTGGCAATCACTGATATTTTCGCTGACTCCATAGTTTTGTCTTTTCTAGAGTGTCATGTAGTTAAAATCATACACTATGTAGCCTTTTCAGATTGGCTTCTGTCACTAGTAATATGCATCCAAGTTTCCTCTATGTCTTAATATCTCATTTTATTTTAAAATTATTTTGTTTTAGATTAAGGGGGTACATGTGCATGTTTGTTAGGTGGGTATATTGCTCAATGGGTGGGAGTGGGGCTTCCAGTGTACATATCATCCAAATAATGAACATTGTACCTAATAAGTAACTTTTTTACTGTCACCCTGCTTCCACCCTTTCTCCTTTTAGCATCCCCAGTGTCTATTATTTCTACCTTTGTGTTTATGTGTATTCATTGTTTACCTTCCACTTGTAAGTGATAACACACAGTATTTGATTTTCTGTTTCTGAGCTAGTTCACTTAGGATAATGGCTTCCAATTCCACCAATATCACTTCAAAGAACATGATTATATTCCTTTTTATGGTTATATAGTATTCCATGGTGTTATATGTCACATTTTCTTTATAAAATCAACCATCGATGGGCACTTAGGTTGGTTCCATGACTTTGGTATTGTGAAAAACACTGCAATAAACATATGTGTACAGGTGTCTTTTTTATATAATGATTTATTTTCATTTGGGTACATGCCAAGCAGTGGGATTGCTGGGTAGAGTGGTAGTTCTGTTTTCAGTTCTTTGAGACATCTCCATACTGCTTTCCATAGAGGTTGAACTAATTTACATTCCCACCAACAGTGTACAAGTGTCCCCTTTTCTCTGCATCCCTGCCAATATCTGCTGTTTTTGACTTTTTAATAATAACCATTCTGCCTGGTATAAGATATCTCACTGTGGTTTTAATTTCAATTTCCCTGATCATTAGTGAGGTTGAGCATTTTTTCATGTGTTTGTTGGCTGTTTGTGTGTCTTCTTTTGAGAAATGGCTGTTCATATCTTTTGCCCAGTTTTTAATGGGGTTGTTTGTTTTCTCTCATGAGTTGTTTGAGTTCCTTGTAGATTTTGGATATGAGTCATTTGTTGGATGCAAAATTTGCAAATATTTTCTCCCATTGTGCAGGTTGTCTGCTTATGCTGTTAATTATTTCTTTTGCTATGCAGAAGCTTTTTAGTTTAATTAAGTCCTATTTCCCTATTATTGTTTTTGTTGCATTTGCTTTTGGGGTCTTTGTCATAAATTCTTTGCCTAAGCCAATGTCCATAAAAGAATTTCCTATGTTTTCTTCTAGGATTAATACAGTTTCAGGTCTTCCAGTTAAGCTCTTTAATCAATCTTGAGTTAATCTTTATATATTTTGAGAGCTAGGTCCCCAGTTTCATTCTGCATATAACTAGTCAATTTTCCCAGAACCACTTATTGAATAAGATGCCCTTTCCCATTATTTTATTTTATTTTTTTGTCAACTTTGTTGAAAATAAGTTAGTTGTAGATATGTGGCTTTACTTATGCATTCTCTATTCTGTTACATTGATCTATATGTTTATTTTTATATCAGTACCATGCTACTTTAGTTATAAAATGCTACTGATTTTCGTACATTGATTTTGCATTCTGAAACCTTAGTTAAGTTGTTTGTCAAGTCTAAGAGTCTTTTGGAGGAATCTTTAGGGTTTTTCTGGGTATATGATCATGTCATCAGTAAACAGAGATAATGTGACTTCTTCTTTTCCACTTTGTATTCGTCTTATTTCTTTCTCTTGCCTGATTGCTTAGGCTAATACTTCTAGTACTATGCTGAATAAGAGTGGAGAGAGTAAATATCCTTTTCTTGTTCTAATTCCTAGGGGAAAGGCTTCCAACTTTTTCTCATTTGGTATGATTTTGGCTGTGGGTTTGTCATAACTCATTTATTTTTAGCACTGAATTATAGCACATTTTCTGGCTGTAACAAAGTTTATCTACATGCACACCTACTATAGGGTATCTCAAGTGCTTCCAAGTCTTGGCAATTATAAATAAAGCTGCCATAAATATCCACGTGCAGTTTTTTGTGTGGATATAACTTTTCAACTCTTTTGGAGCACAGTTGCTAGATTGTATGGTGATAATATGTTTAGTTTTGTAAGAAACTGCCCAAACTCTCTTCCAAAGTGGCTGTACCATTTTACATTCCCACCAGTAATGAATGAGAGAGCCTGTTGCTCCCTATTTTCACCAGCATTTGCTGTTGCCAATGTCTTGAATTTTGACTATTCTAATAGGTATGTAATAATATCTCATTATTGTTTAATGTTTTATATCATTACCTAATGACATATGATGTTGTGATCTTTTCATATGCTTATTTGCCGTCTGTATATCTTCTGTGATGAGGTGTCAATTTAGGTTTTTTTGTGTTTTGTTTTTTGTTTTTTTTTGAGACAGAGTCTCGCTCTGTCACCCAGGCTGGAGTGCAATGGTGTGATCTCAGCTCACTGCAACTTCTGCCTCCCAGGTGCAAGCGATTCTCCTGCCTCAGCCTCCTGAGTAGCTGGGATTACAGGTGTGTGCCACCACACCCGGCTAATTTTTGTATTTTTAGGAGAGATGGGTTTTCACCATGTTGGTCAGGCTGGTCTCAAACTCCTGACTGCGTAATCCGCCTGACTCAGCCTCCCAAACATTTTAAAATTGGGTTGTCCATTTTCTCACTGTTGAGCTTTAAGAGTTTTTAGAATACATTAGACAACAGTGCTTTATTAGATATGTCTCTTACAAATATTTTCTCCTAGTCTGTGGCTTGTCTTTTTATTCTCTTGACAGGGTTTTTGACAGAGAAGAAGTTTTGTATTTTAATTAAATCAAATTTATCATTTTTTCCATTCATGAATCATGCCATTGAGGTTGTATTTAAAATATCATTGCAATACCCAGGGTCATGTAGATTTCCTCCCATGTTATCTTCCAGGAATTTTATAATTTTGTGTTTTACATTTAGGTTTATAATCCATTTTGAGTTAATTTTTGTGGAGTGTTTCTCAAACTTTTTTAAAAAACTGAAGATAAAGGAATATCTCTGAATTCATTTTACAAGGCCAGCATTTCCTCCATACCAAAGCTAGAGAAAACACTACAGGAAAAGAAAATTACATGCCAATAACCCTGGTGAACATAGATGCAAAAATCCTCAACAAAACATTAGTAAACTAAAATCAACAGAATATTAAAAGGATCATTCACCATGATTAAGTGAGATTTGTTTCTAGGATGAAAAAAAACATAGTTCAACATATGCAAATCAATAAATATGACACATCAACAGAATAAAGGACAAACATCATATGATCATCTCAGTAGATGCAGAAAAAGCATTTGACGAAATTAAACATTTCTTCTTCATAAAAAACTATCAACAAATTAAATCTAGAAGGAATGTATCTTAACACAATAAAGGCCATATATTACAAGTCCAAGCTGGCATCATATGCTGTGGTGAAAAGTTGAATGCTTTTTCTGTCAGATGAAGAATAAGGCAAAGATGTCCTCTCCTGCCATGTCACTTCTATTCGACATAGTACTGGAGTTATACAGAGTAATTATTCAAGAACAAGAAAGCATCCAAATTGTAAAGGAAGAAGTTAAACTGCCCTTGTTTGCAGATGACATACTCTTATGTATAGGCAACCTTAAAAGCTCCACAAAAACTGTTAGAACTAATAAATAAATTTAATAAAGTTGCAGGATACAAAATTAACATGTAAAAATAAATAGTGTTCCTGTACACTAACAATGAACTATCCAAAAAAGAATTTTTTAAAACAAAATTCTATTTACAATAGATACCAAAAATACTTAGGAGTAAATTTAACCAAGGTGAAAGATCTGTGCATTGAAAACTATAAAACATTGATGGAAGAAGACATAAATAAATACAGTGTTCATTAATTGGAAAAATTAATATTGTTATATCCGTCTACCGAAAGTCCATACTACCCAAAGCATCCATATTAAGGTGATCTGTAGATTAAGTGCAATCCCTATCAAAATTCCAATGACGTTTTCACTGAGATAGAAAAAACAATCCTACATTCATATAGAACAAATGGTTGCCAAATAGACAAGCAATCTTGAGAAAAAGAACAAGACTAAAGGCATCATACTACTACAAAGCTATAGTAGTCAAAACAACACGGTTCTGGCATGAAAAAAACACATAGACCAATGGTTTAGTATAGAAATCCTAGTAATAAATCCAGGAATTTACAATCAATTGATTTTAGACAAAGATGCAAAACGACGCACAATAGGACAAAGATTTTCTCCTCAGTAACTGCTGTTGGGAGAACGATATCCACATGTAGAAGAATGAAATCAGATACTTATATCAGTTGCAAAAATCAAATCAAAATGGATTAAAGACTTACATGTAAAACCTGAAATGGTAAAAATACTAGAATAAAGCATAGGGGAAAATCTTCATGACAATGGTCTGGGCAGTGATTTTTTGAGATATGACCCCAAAAGCACAGACAACAAAAGCAAAAACAAACAGGATAACATCAAACTACAAAGCTTCTGCACAGCAAAGGAAATAATTACCAAAACGAAGACATGATGCATGGAATGGGAAAATTTATTTGCAAAGCATACATCTGATAAGGAGTTATTACTCAAAATATATAAGGAACTCAAACAACTCAATAGCAAGAAAACCAAAATCCAAATTCAAAAAATAGGCAATAGACCGGA